>NC_000006.12:6726666-6878181 GCF_000001405.40 Homo sapiens
GGAAAAAAACCATGCCATTCTACTCTATCCCTCCAATGTCCATAATGCAATTATCAGGTCTCTCGACCTGTCAGATTTTTACTTGCACTCACCAAAAAGGCTTCACTCTTCACCCCTAAGATGGTAGTAATGTAACTACCCCAGTGTTACGGTAAAGGTTTAAATAAGATAATGTACAGAAAACACTGAGCACCACATATCAATAGTAAGTGCCCAATTAATGTTATTCCTATTGTTTTAGCATTAGTATCAACCATAAATGGTTATGATTGCCGTCTTGTTTAAGAACATATCCAACGTTTGAATCTCTTTGGAAACATTGCACCAAATATTCAAACTTTTTCAAAGTGAGACATACTTCCTCATGAAGCAGCCCATCCATCATTGGACAACTTCGGCTACTGTGAAGTGCGTCTCTGTTGAAAATGAAGCCTAACTCCAGTGAACTTAGTCCTCTGCCTTGCAGCCTAATGTCTGATTTCTCTTCCTCATTATCTGAATACTGTTATCACATCCTTTTTTCCCTGCACTTTTTTTTTTTTTGAGATGGAATCTTGCTCTGTTGCCCAGGCTGGAGCGCAGTGGTGTGATCTCGGCTCACCGCAACCTCTGCCTCCCAGATTCAGGTGATTCTTGTGCCTCAGCCTCCTGAGTAGCTGGGACTACAGGTGTGTGCCACCATGCCTGGCTAGTTTTTTGTATTTTTAGTAGAGACGGGGTTTCAACATGTCAGCCAGGATTGTCTTGATCTCCTGATCTCATGAGCTGTCCAACCTCGGCCTCCCAAAGTGCTGGGATTACAGGCATGAGCCAACTACACCCAGCCTTTTTTTTGTTTTGTTTTGAGATGGAGTCTTGCTCTGTTGCCCAGGCTGGAGTGCAGTGACACGATCTGGGCTTACTGCAACCTCTGCCTCCTGGGTTCAAGTGATTCTTGTGCCTTAGCTTCCCAAGTAGCTGGGATTACAGGTACACACCACCATGCCTGGCTAATTTTCGTATTTTTAGTAGAGATGGGGTTTCGCCATGTTGGCCAGGATGGTCTCAAACTCCTGACCTCAGGTGATCCGCCTGCCTTGGCCTCCCCAAAGTGTTAGGATTACAGGCATGAGCCACTGCGCCCAGCCCCATGCTTAATTCTTTCGACCTGTCCCTGGTTGCTCTTGACAAATGTGGATGGCTGGCCATTTCCTTTTTGAGTGTGGTGTGTGACCAGCTGCTCACTCCATTGTATTTCTCTCAAGTCTAACCTCAAATGAGCTTTGTGGGGTCCACATCTGCTGGTGGCTTCTTTTACCCTACTTTTGACTAAAACCCTTTTAAGTCTTTTTCACTCCTCAGCTACAGCTCCGTTATCCTGCTCCTGTGCGATTCATTTGCCACCCCCCCCCCCACTCCAGGTGAAGACAGTGGCATATTTTCCTGTTAGAATCAGCCTATTTCCATGCCTTCCAAGATGTTTTGGATCTTGATTCTGTCCCACTAAATGTTAGTCTCTCAACATTCAGTAACCAGCAAATTTGGTAAAGAGGGACCTTTATGACTTCCTACGGGTAACATGATGAAAGTTTTGGACAAGACATAGCAGAGGAGCCCTTCCTTGTGAGGGCCCAGCTCTGATATTCAGAGCCTCAGAGTCGCCACCTCCCACAGGCTGCCTTCCCCGCTGTGCACTGTCTGTGAGGCATGTTCTGCCTAGCCTAGGCCTTCACAGCAGGGGGCAAGGGGGATGTCAACAGTGCTTGGAAACAGCGAGAGGGACGGGGTCTGGGGTTGCATGGGGGATGTTGAAGCAGAGAATAGAAGGGCAAAAAAAAAAGTCAGCAAAATAAGGATGGTAAGGAAGGAAAAAACCAGTTAGGACAGTAATTGGGTAAGTTAGAAAGAGAGGAAGGAGTAAATGTTGGAGGAAGTAGGTAGAAATTAACAAAGAATTTTCAAAATGGACAACAAACCAATGTAACAAAGATGGCAAGATGGAAATAGTCAGGGGCATTGAATGAGGCAAAACCCTAAGGGCAAGAAGAGACTAAAAGGCCACCAGACCGAGAAGTTCTCCAGGCCACCCTGTGGCCACGGGGATTGTTGAGTTGTGGGGTTTCATGCTGGTTACTGGAGCAGCTGAAAGCAGCCTCAGAGGAAAGAGCTTCCCAAGATGCATTTTGATTCTAAGAATATTGGTTTCACGGTAGGATGTTTTCATGTCTTGAGAATCTTTAGACACAGGAAATGTACATATCAGGCTTTGCGGAATACATCTGCCTGGAAAGGGCAAGATGGATTTAAAATACTTTGTGAAAACCAACCATGATCCCATTGTGTTTTGAAGCTCCAGGTTTATGAGCCGTAACTCAGCAGAAGCCTAGCATGAGAACAACTCATCTGAAGCTCCAACATTTGGGGAATGCAACCTTTCGACAGACATTTGCTGAATGGATAGGAGACTCCTGAAAGCAGAATTCTGCACATTCTGTGGACCAGCCCTGACTACGGAGAGCAGGTGTTAGCCAGTATCCATGCGCAGTGCCTCTTAGTCTTACCTGTCTGCTGCCTTACGCAAGCATGGAGCTTAATATGCTAGCTGTGTTCTCCTAACCTCAGATATCTGTAAAACCAGCCACAGTAAGATAACATGGTAGAGCACAAAATGCTTAGAAGAGATTTATTTGAAGCAATGCTTCCCAGAAGTTTTTCAATGCAGCTTATGGCGAGAAACACATTTTACATCTCTACTCAGTACGCAGCCACTCATACTCAACTGAAACATCTTCTGAAACAATATTTCACTTCACTCTCTGCAATACAGAAAATACCAGATCGTATTGTATGTTATTTCATTGTTTTAAAATCCTGAGCCTAGCTTGCTAATAGATTACAACTCAGTTTGAAAAGCACAGGCTAAGGGGCTTCAAATAGGGGTGACACATTGAACACACACATTTATCACCTCTCCCTTCACAGATCTCATTAAAATGATAATAAAGGAACAAAATGGCAGAAATCCACAAGGACAAACAGCAAACAAGAGGGACATCAGCAGATAGGCAACCTCAACAAGTATATCACAATGAGTGACACACCCCCTATAACAGCCAATTTTGATGGTCCTCCCATAGCTCTTGCCTTATTCTTTGTAATAGGATTCAGATTGTTTAAAATCCCCATATTCTACCGCAAAGTCATGTTATCAGGAAAGACCAACCCTAACCCCAGTTCCATGGAGTAAAGATTAATTAATCTAAACTCTATTAATTGTATTCCCTTTATCTGGTGATAAGTTTAAGAGCTGATCCCTTAATTTTGGACATGGGAGCACAAGAGAAACTCACTCAAGACTGGGATTAATTGTAGGAAATATTTCACAGTTTCCACAAGTCAGAAGAGCTAATCCCAACCCTCTGTATCTGGAACATACACTGCTGCCATTTTCTGCCCATGAAGGGAAATACCCAAGGTACTCTGGCAGAACAGATTTTTGAAAACTTGAGTCCCTGATGATGTAAGTCAGCCACAATGTTAATCAACCCCAGAGCCACCTTATTTCTAGACTTATTATGCAAGATAAAAAAAATCAACTTGCAGTATGAACCACTTTTAGTTGGGTTTTATTTCGGCAAACATATGCCAAGGCACAGCATAAAATTCCACAAGGGACAAATCAATGAGCCCAGAACTTCCAATGAGGGGGACAACTAAGTCATATACACAATAACTAGAATGTAAATGGTATTGAACTTCAAGCACAACATTGGATGCTAGAAAAAAAGAATGCCTTCAAAGTTTTAAAAGAAAACACTTTTCTACCTTGAATTCTGCAATCAACCATACCATTGATCAAGAACAAAAGTAGATAGAATTATCCTTAGACATGCAAGGACGAAAATTTACCTTCCATATGCCTTCTAGGAGCTAATAGTTGATGGGTTTCAGGAAAAGAAAGGAATATAAATGAAAATAAGGGAAGAGAAGGGACCTAGGAACCAGTGAGTCCAGTCAGCAGGGTGGAAGAGCTGACAGCTACACTGTGCAGTCCACACAAGAGTAGAAGGGGAAGACATCCAGGGAAAAATTACATAGACTTAACAGAGTAGAAATATGGCAGATCTAGTGGCAAAGTGATCATCAGAAAGAAATCAAATATGCTGTACTGTATAACGAATTACCCTGAGACTTTCAGACTTAAAATAAGCATTTATTATCTTCTATTTTCTGAGCATGAGGCATCTGGGAGCAGCTTAGCTGGGTAGTTTCAGCTCAGGATCTCTTCTGAGGTTGTCAAGATGTCAGCTGGGGCTCCAGTCAGCTGAGAGCATGACCAGAACCGTAGAATCAGCCTCCACCATGGCTGACTCATGTTGCAGTTGGCAGAAGGCCTCAGTTCCTTGCTGGCTGTGGGCAACAGGCCTCAGCTGCCTGCCACATGGACCTGTTCAGAGGGCTGCTCAAGTGGCCTAACATGGCAGCTGGTTTTCCCCAAAGCAATCCATGAGAAAGTTCGTGGGGGGGGGCTGTAATGCCTTTTATGACCTAGTCTCAGAAGTCACATGTCATTATTTCTGCCATGTTCTATTTGTTAGAAGCAATTCACTAAGTACAGCCCACTTATAAGGCAAGGGAAATAGGGCTCTGCATTTTATAAGAATATTGAATTTTTGACATGTTTTTAAACTATTACACATATGCATATAAAAGTAGCATGTAAGTTAATAAGTGTGGCAAAGAGATAACTTCAAGGGAAACAAAATCTAAAGAAAAAATGTAATCCTAATGCACCACGCAGATTTGCTATTAACAATATCGACATAGTTTTGGTGTTATAAAGTGATTATTGATGTAATTAAAAGCAACTATAGGCCAAGCCCAGTGGCTCATGCCTGGAATCCCAGCACTTTGGGAGGTGGGCGGATCACCTGAGGTCAGGAGTTTGAGACTAGCCAAGATGGTGAAACCCTGTCTCTACTAAAAATACAAAAATTAGCTGGGCATGGTGGTGGGTGCCTGTAATCTCAGCCACTTGGGAGGCTGAGGCAGGAGAATTGCTTGATCCCGGAAGGAGGCAGCTGCAGTGAGCTGAGATCATGCCACTGTACTCCAGCCTGAATGACAGACTTAAACAAAAAACTATGCAGCTATATAAAGAGGGATGAGGAAAGATAAGAGCATAAGGGAGCCAACTTTTCATTAACTCTGAGGAAGCCAATTGATATTACCTGTAATTGATAAATCAAAAAACTATGATCAAGACAGTCTTGCACTGGCAAAATAGGTCAATGACCATATTTGTTCATTGAAAAAATAGAAAACCCAGACAGACCTCACCCAAATATAATCAACTGATCTTTGACAAAGGGGAAAGGATAGTCTTTTCAGTAAATGGTGCTGAAACAACTGGACATCCACATGCAAAAGAATCTAGTCACAGACTATATCCTTCACAAAAATTAATTTAAAATGGATCATAGATGCAAATGTTAAACCTAAAACTAAGACTCCTAGCAGGTCACATAGGAAAGCATCTAGATGACCCCTGGGTTTGGGAATGACTTTTTAGACAACACCAAAGAAATGATTAAAGAATTGATAAATTGGACTTTATTAAAATTAAAAACTTCTGCTCTGTGAAAGGCACTGTCATGAAAATAAGAAAAGCCACAGATTGGAGAAAATATTTGCAAGAGATAAATCTGATAAAGGACTGTTATTCAAAATATATAAAAAGTCTTAAAACTCAATAAGGAAACAACTTAATTAAAAATGGGCAAAAGATCTGAACAGATACCTCACAAAAGACATACAGCTGGCAAATAAGCATATGAAAAGATGCTCCACATCATATATCATTAGAGAATTGCGAATTAAAACGAGATACTGCTACACACTTATTAGAATGGCCAAATCTAGAATACCGTCAACACCAAATGTTGGCAAGGATGTGGAGCATCAGGAACTCCCATTCATTGCTGTGTGAATGCCAAATAGTAGTTTGGAAGACAGTTTGGCAGTTTCTTACAAAGCAACTACTTTTGCAATATACTCCAGAATTTGTACTCCTTGGTATTTACTCAAATGAGTTAAAAACATGTCCACACAAAACCCTGCACATACCCTTCACTGCTTCCATGTTGTAGCAACCAATGAATAAAATTGCTAGAAACAATGTCCTTCAATAGGTGAATGGATAAACCATCGTGCATCAAGACAGTGGAATATTATCCAGTACTAAAAAACGCAATATGGAAGCCATGAAGACATGGAAGAAACTTAAATGCATATTGCTAAGTAAACAAAGCCAATCTGAAAAGGCTACACATGCTGTATGAGTCCAACTATGTGACATGCTGGAAAAGACAACTATGGAGACAGGAAGATGATCAGTGGTTGCCAGGAGTTAGAGGGGAGGGAAGGATGACTAGGTGGAGAACAGAGGATTTTTAGGGCAATGAAACTGTATATTACAGTGATGGATTCATGGCATAATACATTTGTCTAAACCCATAGAATGTACAACACCAAGAGTAAACGCTAATACAAACTGTGAACTTTGGGTGAAAATGATGTGTTAATGTCAGTTCATCAGCTGTTACAAATGGACCACGCCGGTACAGGATGTTGATGGAAGCAACCGTTTAGGGGTGGGGGCAGGCATATGGGAACTCTGTACTTTCTGTTCAGTTATGCTGTGAGCCTAAAACTGCTCTAAAAACAAAGCCTAATAAGAAAAATCACACGCTAGGTCTGGTCTATCAGCATAGTTCTTCTGCCTCCCACTGCCAACCAGTCCCACCTGCCTCCTTTCCTGGCCCTTCCTCACTGCCAGGTCTTGTTTCAGCGCATGGATTACCAGAAGGAAAAATGCTCCCACCGGCCTCTCTCTGTATCAAAACACAGGAGTGAAATAAACCAGCTTTTCAATAAAGAGGCTGGGGTGGGAGGGGCTAGAGAAAGGATGACTTGCTCATGACCCCCAGATCCTCTGACCCATCAGCCCATAATCTCACCTGCCTTACAGTCTTGACCTCTCCCCTAATTCCCACGTACTTTCTTCCTTCCCCCATCTTGATGGCACTGATGGAAGAAACTCTGGACCACTTGCGCCAGGGACACCAAGTCTGCATCCTTAGCCTTGATCGGGCCATGGTGATGAGACAGTCCTCTCCCAGCCCCATTCAGCTCCCTCTCAGCCCCCACAACAGTTCAGCCTCAGATTTTTTCCTGGAGCCTCATGGCTCCCTCGTCATCCTGCACAATAGGAAGCCTTGCCCCCTACTAAACAGGGAAAGGTGAGCTGGCCAGTCATGAATGCCCTGAGCTCTGCAACTCACCCCTGCCCTGCCTCCTGCTCGCTCCTGCCTTCACTGGCCTGACACTGCTGTGCAGACCTCATTCTCCTCTCTGCGCTAGCATCCCCTCCCTGTTCTCTTCACCCTCTCTCCAGGTGTGCCCTTCGTCGTACCCATCACAATTCTCTCCAGGGAAAAGCAAAACCATAATGAAGACAACAAAAATACTCTCCCAGGGATAGCAGGAATTGCACCAAACGGCTTCCTTGCCAGGGCTTTAGCGGGTTTTGACTGGGCACTGAGGGTGGCGAGTCCCTAGGTTTGAATTGCAAAGGCACAGGTGCAGCTGTCGAGCAGAAGAGTGGGTGGTTAAAAAGTGGGCAGATCTCTTGGTTTGTTACTCCAACCCCTTTCTGGCATATATAACCCCCTCCAGACACACCGCTGGAGACTTGAGCCTTCGTGAAGTAAATACCATTATAAACCCCTGCCTCCGAGCAAAACAGCAGAAAACCTTACACACAGAAACTAGCGATCAGATTCCTCCAGCAGCTTTGGCATTCCCTCTAACTTCTGCCCCTCTTTGCCAAATTTTCTAAAAGTACTTTCACTGTCCTACTTACTAACCTCCTGTAGGCTGGTGTTGGGACCCACCACATGTCCATTAACCAGCTCTTATCACACTGGTTACTGCTGAATTTCCAAGTCTAATGGACACTTCTATTGTGTCTTAATAACCTCTGCGGGGCACTGACTCATCACTCTTCCTCCTGGAAATTTCTTCTCCCCTGGCTTCCATGACCCTCTGGCCTGGTTCTCCACCACCACCCCACCCTCACCCAGTCTTTCCCTCTCAATCTGCTTTCTAAGCTCGTTTCAGCCTCTGCCTTGACCTGGCCGTTCTCCCCCAGACAGAGCTCCAACCTGCTTCTCTTTGCTTCTTGTGCTCCACGCCCGCTGTGAGCCATCTGACCTTCTACACACTTTCCTGTACAGCACATACTCTCCTGACTCCTGGATCCGCACTGCCATCCCAGTTAACAGTAACGAGTCTCCCAAAGGGGGTTGAAATCTGAAGATCCAGTCCAGGAGGAATCTAGGAATCCGCAAAGGCTAAACACACTAGGAGTAGGCAGAGCTGGGGGCACCCCTGGCAAGGTGCTGGGGCGGGAGGCTCTGTCAGTTCCTTCTGAGCCTCATGATTAAGCACTTCATGATTAAGTGGGGGATGAGGCTCACTGATATGGGGAGAAAGAGACCTGTCCTGGGATCAAACAGCAGCGCTAAGGCTCCGCATTAGACCACAATCAACCCCCTGCCAATCAACAAAGCAACACTCAGCTGTCCCAGTGCATCTGTTCAGGCTTTGGACACACGAGTGCAGGTTTTAACTCCATGGCACAAGTGTGCATCCGTTTCCAGCCTTATTTGGGGGAGGGGAAAGTTGTTTGAGTCATTTTATATGAAGAATCCACTGAATGGAACATTTGTTACTATTTAATTAGAACAGACGACGCAGCTATGTAAAATGGAAACTGCATTTAACATGTTAAGCATACACAGAATGACCCACTGCAACCTGCCTTCTTAATGGGCATCACCAAGTGACGTCCCCACCAGTCCCCACCGTGAACAGGGATGCCCTGATCATCAGCTGGTTAGACATACACCTAGAAGCATTTTGTAAAGTCAGCTATCAGAATTTAGTCATTAGAATGTACTAAAAACTAATCACGTACTTCAAGCAACATGGATAAAATAAAGTAAATCAACGATGTTTAGTGACAATAAGGCTAGACCCACCATAAAAATGTCAACAGATGGGGAGAATGTTAAGAGCAGAAAACTTGAGACAGATGATGCAAAAAGGCAGAAATGGGGAACTTGGGAGGAATTCTGCTTGTCTAGAGTCAGGATAAGAAGCTTTTGTACCATGTATGGTAGCAGTGGTGTCACTTTTTGGTCCAGCTGGAAAAATAAAAACAGATGCTAGACAGAGGGGGAACAGCAATGCGTGAGATTGCATCCATGACCTAAAGCCCGCCTGGTGTTATTGGGGTGGCCAGGGAGAGGCAAAAGGTGACAACAATGATAGTGTCAACAGCACAGAGTAACTGTGGCCCAAACACCTTTTTGATTGCCATCTATAAGGTGACTCCCCAGTTTCTCTTAGCCCTGAGCTTTCATATCTGCAGACCCATATATCCAAGTGTCTGTTTAAAACATCGGCATGGATAAGTGTTTTCAACCCAACATGTCCCAAACTAAACTCTCAATCTCATCAACAAACTTGCTCCTCCTCCAGGCTTCTGTCTCAGTGACATCCCTATCCCCTCCACCGCACATGCCAGAATCCCTGGAAGTAGCCCTAATTTTTCCCACTGTCTGTTCACCCCACCTCTGAGCCACCATTTTCACACTTCCTCTTCGTCCACGTCACCATCACTTGCATGGACTTCTATACTCCTACGTTGCCTTTTTGCTTCCATTCTCATCTCCACCCCTATAATCTGTTCTCTCCACGGCAGATAGAATAACCATTTTAAAACTTAAATCCAAAATCTTTCTGTGGCACTCAGGATAAATCCCAGCCTCTATGGGCTCACAGGGTCTGGCCTCTGCCGGCTTCTCATTTCTCCTGCAAATACTTCAACCTGCAATGAAAACTTTGCCTATGTGAGTTCCATTCCCAAGTTCTCTTGCATCTGCCAATTCACTCCAAAGAGAAATCAAGCTCCCTTTCAGGCTAAGATGCAAAATAGAGTTTGGCGTATCTCCTAAGGCCAAACTCCGAGCCAATCTTTTAAAATCTCTTGCCCATGTAAAAATTCTTGAAAAGCAATCTCGATTCCCGGCCAGACTCCCTGCCCACGTGTTCCCCACCCGCGTCCCCACAGCTCCGTCCGCCTGCTCTGGTCAACACCACAGCTGGGCCCTGCCCCTTCGGAAGCTGATGCTCCAGCGAGGGCAGTGGATTTATGGTGCAAGGTTACTTGGCGCGTAAATCTGGGCCTCAGGAATCAAGGGCTGTGACATTTTTACAGCCTCCTCCTCCAAGCCCCTGCACGGACATGAGGCAACTGGAGGGAAGAACATCTGGTTTCATTTTTTTTATTCACGGCCACAGCTCCCATCTGACAATATTCTGGATCTCGCCAGAGTTCTGGTCCCGGCTGAATGAGAGGCGAGGCCGTGCTCTGCAAGAGATCTCGTTTTTCTGCCTCACCATGGTGTAAGGAAGCCACCAGGAATTAAAAATGGCACCACCATCACACTGAAAGCATTTGCTCGAGTCCTGGGCTGGGCGGCCACCTGCCAACTTGCTGGAAGTTAAGAAAGGGCATTTCTGAGGGAGGCAGGAGGCGGCTCCGGGCCTCTGTTGCAACAGGGGCTGATGCCGGGGGCTTGCACAGTGCATGCTGGGACTTGTAGTCTCCGCGGGCAAGATGGCCGCTGGGTCCTCAGGGCAGGACACAGGGGCTCCTCATCACCCGTTCCTGTGATCTCAGACACAGCCTGCCACAGCAATGACTGCCATGGCCATAGGTCACCTTGGGAGAGTGCATGCAGAAACACATATCAACCGCTCGACTCTACGCCCAAAGATAAGCCGCTGATTAGGTGCGCCTTTCTGGACATGACTTGTCTCAGTTTCCACATGGCCCAGAGCCCCGCCTCATGACAAGCGGCTTCCTTTTCATCTGATTGAGAACTCCAGACTGGAGCAACTTCAGAAAAACGTGCCCCTCTCTGCTGTCCAACCAGCAGGGATGATTAGAACAATCAGAAAGAGGTCCCTCGGAGGAATGTTCCCCTGCAGTGAACGGAGCACCAGATCCCCTGTCCCTAATCACTGTGTGTGGCTCTGATCAGACCCAGTGAGGGAAACGGTAACTCATCATCTGTTTCCTCAACTACGCATTCGCCTGAATGTCCCAGTAAAGAAAGAAAGCAAAGCAAAGTCCAAGCAGGGCATGGTGCCATGACCCTGTGAGAAGGCACCCTGATCTGCCCTGGGGGCTCCAGTCCACTTTCTTGCCAGGACTTTGAATGCAGACTCTAAGTCACCCCAGCTCAACATCCTTCAGCAGTCCTCACAGCCTAGTAGATAAACTCCTTTCTACACATTTGCTTTTATGGCTCTATCTCATTACTTTCTCATTCTCGTCCTCAATCCTAGTCAAGAGGGTATTTGCCAATGCTTATAGTGACCTTTTACTGAGCACTTACTAAATGCTATGAGCTTTGCTAAGCATTTACACCCATTATCCCATTTAATCCTATATTAATCCATAAGGTAGTTGCCGTTATGCCCATTTTTCAGATGATGAAACTGAGGCACAGAAGTTAAAGTCTTCACACTATCTACCACCATCAAACCTGCAATCAAGCAGATAGTTCTTTGAGGCAACCATGTAGTCAGTCACCACAGGACATGCATAATCACCTACCTCCAAAGGCCCCCAACATTTGCCTGGAAACATTTCTAAGTGCCCTCTCCCACACTCTGCTCCCACCCTTTAATCCTGTGGCCACTCTCCACAACTCCCTTTGCCTAAGTGATCTCATCTATATTCATAGCTTTCACACTTACGACCTCCAGATTAATCCCAGATTCGTATGTACAACTGCCTATTTGAAATGTCTACTTCACTGTACCAAGGCATCTCACATGTAGCATGTCCTGACCATACCCTTCCTCCTATAGATTGCAACTCTTCTAGATTCCTCCCAGCTAAGACTAATTACAAGCAGTGTCCGAAGCCTATCAATTCCAGCACCCTAATGGCTTTTAAATCTGTGCCCTGTTCTCACTGCTTTAGGGTTAGATTACAACCCCTTTTCCTTTTCACCTGATTCATAAAATAACCTCTTATTTTGGAACCTCCACAAACATCTTAAATTGCATCTGCAAGTTCTCTAGCACACCTTCTTTCAAAGGGTGGAGTCTAATTCCCTTACCTTGAGCGTGAGCTAGACATAACAGCTCTCCTCTACCAAATAGAAGATGACAATACGTCATTTCTGAGGTCAGATCACAAAACACATTGCCACTTTCACCACTTTCTCAGATCATTCTTACCTTATTCTGGGGTGAGCCAGCTGCCATGTCATGAGACTACTCAAGCAGCCTATGGCAGGGTTGATGTGGAAGGAACTGGATGTATCTACAAACAGCAATCACCAACTTGGCAGCTATGAGAGTGAGCCACTTGGAAATGGTCTGCTTGCTCCAGCCATGCCTTCCAGTGCCTGTGACCCCAGCCTGCACCTTCATGGCAACCTCCTGGGAGACCCTTAACCAAAACCTCTCAGCTAAGCAGCTCCAGAAATCCTGATCTCCACCCTGCCACACACACAACCAAATGTGCTGTTGTTTGAAGGCATTATGTTTTGAAGTAATTTAGTGTGCATGATAAGTTAAACCCTTATCCCGTTCCCCACTTATCACAGCCAAAGCTGTATTTTTAAAATGCAAGTGTGATTATGTCATTCCCCTACTTAAAATTCTTTTATGACTCTCCATCACCTACAGGCTAACTGTGAAACTCATTAAGACAGCATCCAAGTTCTTCAGCATCTGGCCTCTTTGGCTTCAACTCTCAAGAGCTCACTGAAGGACTCTTCTCTGGCAGGCCATGATTTGTTTTATATCCGATACCCCTTCTCTCAGATACTGCTTGAAGTGTTAGATCACACTAAGAGTTATAGGTAATTTTTATCAGTACACGCATGAACATCTACGAGGGCACTGCCCACTCCTGTCCTAAGCAATAGAACAGTACTGAGCTAGGAGGAGGCAGTCAGGAAGTAATTTTCATGCAAGAGAGAATGCAATTGATAGGGAAGTTATCTAAGACTGATTTAAATAGCAAACGCTGACTGAATCAGAGCCCAATTCCAGCAGACATTCTCTATCAACTCATCTAGATAAAACCAACCTCTTTGGAGACTAAGTCCCTTTCTGGAGACAGAGTCTGAAAAAGTTTTGTGTTTTCTGGAACAGCCTGGTGGGATGGTGTGATGCTTTAAGGTGGCACCTGCATCCTCCCATCCCCCCACGGCCCCGATACCTAAGGCATCCTATCGGGTCAACCTGACACCTGGGTGCCATTGGAAACCAACTGAACCTGGAACACTGGGATTTCAGGTTCAATGTGGGTTTGAAGGGCGTGCCTATGAGAGACCTGGGAAGTCAGTCCTGGCACATTTACTTTAACCAGTGATGTAGCTAAGTCACTACTATATACAGACCTGAAGACTTTAGATATATCTGTAATCTTATAGGGGAGGAAAAGTGAGTGGTATTTTATACTGCTCACCTAAGTGATTTTTTATGTAGGTTAGGAAACACCAATTTTAGTCACTCTTAGAAAAAAGTATTTGTGTAGGGGGATGCCTGGGGGCTCTGGAAGGTCACTTAAATTGGTGGTTGCCTCACCAAGGTGATGAGCCTGAAGGCTTTTTTTTTTAATGGAGTCTCACTCTGTCGCCCAGTCTGGAGTACACGGGCATGATCTCAGCTCACTGCAACCTCCGTCTCCCAGGTTCAAGCGATTCTCCTGCCTCAGCCTCCCGAGTAGCTGGGACTACAGGCACACACCACTATACCCAGCTAATTTTTGTAATTTTAGTAGAGATGGTGTTTCACCATATTGGTCAGGCTGGTCTCAAACTCCTGACCTCAGGTGACCCACCTACCTTGGCCTCCCGAAGTGCTGGGATTACAGGCTTGAGCCACCATGCCCGACCTGGAAGCTTTTATACTTAGAAATACCTGAACTCCTCCACATGGCTGACAAGGCCCACAGAGCGGCAGGGCCACCCAGGCGGCTCTGGCCTCCCCCGCCCCACCTGAGGCTGTTACCTGGGTCTTTCATTCCTGGGATGTGGTGAGGGACTTGATGTCTCCTCCTCCAGATTTTCGCAGGGCTGGTTCCCTTAGGTCTTCAGTCCTAGCTCAGATGCCACCTCCTGGGGGCTTATTCCCTGCACCACCTTTGAGAAGTCGCCCACCCCTGTGTCAAAGACAGGCTGGAGCAAGGAATTTGCATTTGGGTAAAAGCACTGCTGATAATGATAGCTAAGAAAACTCATTTCTTCATACCAAAACCTTGGTCCACTGGGCATTGGTGATGGAGATGGGAGGATTCATCCTTGTTGCTTCGGCTTTTTGGAAATGATTGCTTTTAGCACTTGCTCCACAAAGGGGGGAGAATATAGAAATGCTCTGGTTTCACTAGAGGGTTAATGATTTCTTCTAGTGCTTGCCTAATTGCCTTTAATTGGCAAAAACTTGAAAGAAGCTGCTGGCTTAAACGCCAGCAGTTCATAACCCTCACATAGGTAATTTACTTTGAGGCAAGGGAGTGGCTTTTGTGCCCTAGGGTGGGAAGGAGAAGGGGCAGTGTAACCTCTGGGCCAGGCAGGCCTCCCTCAGTGCAGGGCCTTAGCTGCTGACTAGCAGCGGCGAGGCAGGGCTGCACTTAATGAAAGTGACACTTGCATTCCTTCCAAATCCCCACTGGTCACCACAGCACCTCCTACAGTGTCTGGATACTGATGTCTCCAAGGCTGGTGTTTTCAACCTCTTGATTCTTTATTATGGACTATTCCATAGTCTAATTGTATGCCTGTCTTCTTGTCCTATTTATAGTGGGACACATTTATATCATATTCCTTTTTATATGTATTATATTACAACGATTATATATAGTATGTTATATAAGGCAATATTATATATAAGGAATATATATAAGTAGTTACATTTTAGTCCTGAAATTTATCAAAGATTAGTTATAATGTGATATAATATGTAAGAATTATGTAAGATAATATATATAATATATTGTATTATATTCCTTGATAAAATTCAGGACTAAAAAAAAGAAAGTGAAATAACCAGCCATAATCCCTCCTGGCTGCTCCATGCAGTCATCAGTGGTGTCCTGGTAAGCTGGCTCTACAGAGGAGCAGGAGAAAAAGCCCTGACATGCCATTTGCTAGTTTCCCTGGTATAAATACTCCTACCATGGCCAACCAGCTAGCAAAATTTCTAAATATATTAACAGTCAGCTCCCAGGAGCCCATACAGGCCAGTCATAGCACACCCACAGCAAAACACCTTCCCATCGGCCCATCTTAGGGCTACTGCACTCTGAGCTCCTGCTGCAGCCCCCAACTAAAGAAAATAAAGGCCAAATACGGTGGCTCATGCCTGTAATCCCAGTACTTTGGGAAGCCAAGGTGGGAGGATCAGTTTAGGCCAGGAGTTCAAGGCCAGCCCAGCCAACACAGCAAAACCATATCTACTAAAAATATAAAAGTTAGCCGGGCATGGTGGTAGGTGCCTGTAATCCCAGCTACTTCGTAGGCCAAGGTGGGAGAATCACTTGAACCTGGGAGACAGAGGTTGCAGTGAGCTGAGATCGCACCACTGCACTCCACCCTGGGCAACAAGAGCGAAACTCCCACTCCACAACCACAACAACCACAACAACAAAAAAAAAAAAAGGAAAAAAAAAAAAAAAAAAAAAGAAAAAGAAAAAGAGGCAAGACTAGTGCCTTACTCCAAACACTGGTAGCCCTTATTTTCTAAAAGAAATCTAAGCTGGCATACCAAAATCTGGTTGAGTGAATATTCAAGAAAAAAAATCACCAGTCACTATGAACAATCAGTCTCTTATATGAGAAGCATATTGATTGTGTGTCCTGTCCTGCTTCTCAGCTTGTTGCTGAGTGTGGGGGCGGGGAGAGTTCTTGATGGCAGGGACCTTACCTCCTTAATTCTCCTTTGTCCTCCAGCAAGGTCAAAGTATTCAATCCACAGGGAAGCTCAATTATCCTAATAGGAGGATAGCTGCCCTTACTGAGAGTTAACCGAGTTAGGAGCCACAGCCTTTACAGAAAAGATGGATGAAAGCTGGAGATGAACCTGACATACATAAGGTACCAGGACTGAATCCTATTCATTTGACAGATGCAAACAGTCTTCATCCAGGCTCTGCTGGAAGGCAACCAGTGGAGGCTTACCTGGCTCCAGTGCAGGGCTCAGCAGCAAACCTGGACCTGCCCCCACATAAACTGGAAATTTCAAGGCTAAGCCAGGTATGAAGCTATGCAGAAAGAGACAAGACACATATGCCCCACCTCAGCCCATGCACACCCCCGGCAATGCTAACCAAATCCCATCCCAGCCAAAGGGCCAGGGAAAAAAAAAATGCACCACATGGAAAAGAAAAAATTCAGCAAATAGCTGTCAAGACTAAATGCCTAGGAAACAGCTCTGTGGCAGAGCTCCTCCTTATTGTGGGGGGAAAAAAATAAATGTTCTGCACCTATATATCTCGCGTGGATAAAAACAACGAAGCTGTTGTCTCACGGATTGTGTCAACATGGTAAGGGGTCCTTACCATGTGCCAGTAACTGGGCAAAGCGATGAGAACACAAAAGCAAAAAGGAGAGGCTGTGTCCTCCTTCAGGTCTCATGGCCCTGGCAAGCAGGCAGCCGAGTCCCCGCAGGTGTTCACGCACGTGCAAATGCCTGCCGACTGCAGAGTACGGAGCCAAGAAGTGGCAGAGGATGGAGACCAGAGGCAAAGCAAGGATTCAGACCAATGGCCAGCCCTGTCGAGACCCAGGCTGGGAAGCCAACACCAAGTAGGAGGTTAAAGTACTGAAGCCAGTCACCGAGATAGAGTCAAGTAGGTTTGGAGTAGACGTTGAGGGCAGCACCTGCAAGATTCTTTCAGGTACAGAAAGGAGCCTGTGTTCTCCCCATAGTTGGGAAAGGAGTTATTAGAACTACTATTACTGATTGAGGAACTCTCGAGGCAATCTAAAACACCATCAACCTACCATTATTTGGTGTACCACTAAGTAACAAATCCTAAAGTATTATGACACACCACCAATGTTCCACGCATTTCAACTTCAGAAATGCTAATAAAAACCAGCGTGTATCTTACAATCAATGAAATACAGTAGTGGGGCATAAATACTTTGGTGAAATATTTGAAGGGAAAACGGATACTGACACTGAATTGCCAGAATAGATTAAATAACGTCACACTGGGACACACTTATCACGTTGGGAATCCTGGAAAACCATCGAAACAGGCAGGGCACAGCAAAAAGAATGAAATGGTGGTCTCTGGCTCAGCCATCCTAAGAGTGAAATTCATCAGTTAGGAACCCTTATTAACTTGGTGTCTATTCCTCCATTCTTTCAGTGTCTTCTTTCTCAAATCATATCTATAGGGGGAAAATGCATTATGAGCACCAAAATGTGAAAAAGTGCATTAGTTCTGTGAACTTCTGTACCTGTGATCCCTTTCCTCATACATGTATTGTCTCCTACCCACGGTTGGGTTGACTTCCACTGGAGTGACACACACATAAAGACACAATGTCAAAAATAAGTAGCTGTATTGTTCAACACCCATAAGCTTGGGCCTGGTGGATGAATGGCCGCAGGTGGGAAGTAGGCAATAGTTAGGTCTCCTTAGAGAGACAGGTATGGCAGAGCTACAAGTTGAAAACAAGATTAAGACCACCTGCATGGCGAGACTTAACACACAAAACTGATGAGCCATGAGGAATGCATGTTTTTAAACAGACTGCACCAGTACAAACCAGTCTATCCTACAGGGGCTAATGGCTGGAAAGCCACAAAAGGTCACTCCCCTAGCACCAGTAACATCAGCTAAGATGGAACACTGGCAGATCTACTACTAGCAGGATTAGAGAGAATAGTAGTTAGGCTAAGCATCACATGATCAGTCTGCCGGCCCCAGGCCTTCTACCCTAGTTTGTTCTCTAGGGTATCCTACCCACAGCACGGGCCACGCAGAACAGGGCTGAAGGATTATGGGTTTTCTTTACAATCCTCCCCAGCTGTCAGAAACTGCCCTTATGCCCGACAATAATCCTACATTAAATCACCCCAGCAAACCAAACCCTTATCTAGGCTGGACCACCCCAGACTTACCCTGTGTGTTAAACTTTGGAAAGCTTTTGGTTTCACTGATTTCAAGAATGAATCCATAAACCCTTGGGGTGAGTGTTACAGTTCTTAAAGACAATGTGTCCAAACTTCGTTCTTTCTGACGTTCAGACGTATTCAGAGTTTTTCTTCTAATAGTAGGTTCACGCTCTCACTGACTCAATAGCCAAGCCGCAGACCTTCATGGTGTGCGTTACAGCTCATAAAGGGAACATAGACCTAAACAGCAAACAACAACAAGATTTACCGCAGAACAAAAGAACAGAACTCGCACAATATAAACACACACCACAAAAGAAAACCGACCAGGTTATAATTGCTAGCGCGGCAGCCTGCTTTTATTCCCTTATCTGGCCCCACCCACGTCCTGCTGATTGGTCCATTTTACAGAGAGCCGATTGGTCCGTTTTGACAGGGTGCTGATTGGTGCGTTTACAAGCCCTGAGCTAGACACGAAAGTTCTCCACGTCCCCACTAGATTAGCTAGATACAGAGTGTGGATTGGTGTATTTACAAACCTTGAGCTAGATACAGAGTGCCAATTGGTGCATTCACAAACCCTGAGCTAGACACAGGGTGCTGATTGGTGTGTTTACAAACCTTGAGCTAGATACAGAGTGCTGATTGGTGTATTTACAATCCCGTAGCTAGACTAAACATTTTCCAAGTCCCCAGCAGATTCAGGAGCCCAGCAGGCTTCACTCAGTGGATCCCACACCGGGGCCGCAAGTGGAGCTGCCTGCCAGTGCCGCGCCCTGTGCCCGCACTCCTCAGCCCTTGGGTGGTCGATGGGACTGGGCGCCGTGGAGCAGGGAGCGGCGCTTGTCGGGGAGGCTTGGGCTATGCAGGAGCCCACGGCGGTGTGGGGGGAGGCTCAGGCATGGTGGGCTGCAGGTCCCGAGCCCTGCCCTGTGGGGAAGCAGCTAAGGCCCGGCGAGAAATCGAGCACAGCAGCTGCTGGCCCAGGCACTAAGCCGCTCAGTGCCCGGGGCTTGCGGGCCGGTCCGCCGCTCGGAGTGCGGGGCCGCGGAGCCCACGCCCACCCGGAACTTGCGCTGGCCCGCAAGCGCCGCGCGCAGCCCCGGTTCCCGCTCGCGCCTCTCCCTCCACACCTCCCCGCAAGCTGAGGGAGCCGGCTCCGGCCTCGGCCAGCCCAGAAAGGGGCTCCCACAGTGCAGCGGCGGGCTGAAGGGCTCCTCAAGCTCTGCCAGAGTGGGCGCCAAGGCCGGGGAGGCGCGGAGAGTGTGTAAGGGCGGCCAGGACGCTGTCACCTGTCAATTTCAGGGGCTTAGAGGAAGGCTTCACCTCCCCTGCAGCTGAATGAAAGCTGCCACGTCCCACTTACCCTCTGGGGTCGGATCTAGAGAGTCCCCGGGGCTGCTCTACCACACCATATTCCCTAGATCTTTCTGATCACTGCATGTCCCCTGCGAGGGGGTCTGCACATCTGCCTGCTGGGGGCTGGGAGTGACCGAGAGCCCCAGCTCCCAAACTAAGACCTAATCCTGAGTGTGCAGAATGGCAGGTCTCAGATGCAGAGCCACCGCTGGCACAGAGTAACATGGAAAATGCCTGGCCATGGCAAAAGTGCATTCTGCTCGGAGTATCTGGCAGGAATCGTAATCAGGGCAGAGGCAACTGCATTTGTGGGGAGAAAGTTTGGGGCGATGCAATGTCCTGAGCAGCTTCCTGACCCCCGTCATCGCCGTCCTTGCTTTGTGCCACCACCCTTGAAGATACCCCTTTTTGTGGTTCTGTGGGAGCTGCTGCAGATAAGGACGGGGTGTCGGTGTCTGTTTCTCCTCAGCCGCTCTCAGCGAGGTCACTGGGTGCCAGAAATGGAAACATAAATGGCAGCTGCTGTCCTGAAAGCAGGTGGCTGCTCTGACCGGGGAGGGAAATGGCTTGGGGACTTACTCATGCAGCCTGAGAGCCACAGAGTAGGAATAAGCATGCAACTGGTGTGTGTGGGCACGATTGTGTATGCCTATTTCTGCATGTAAGTTCCAGAGCTGTGAGCTCACACACACAGGCACACAGATACACACAGGAACACACAGACACATGCACATGCATGCACAGACACACACAGACACGCAGAGACATAGACATATACACACAGACACAGAGACATACACACATATAGACAGATGCACACATACAGACATACACACAGACATGCACAGACACAGACACACACATAAGCACACACAGACATACCCAGAGACACAGACACACGCACACACAGACACTGACACACACAAACACACGCAACACAGATACAAACACACAGAGATACAGAGGCACACATATATTTATATATACACAGACACACACATACACATGCTTACTCACATAGCACACACATACACAGAGACACATGAAGATACGCACATACCACACGTATGCAGTCACACATAACACATGCATCTCCCACCCCATTGGTGGTGTCCACAGGGCTGTCCGGAGAGCAAGCAATCAGTAAGTGTTTGTTGGATACTAAGTGAAGGATGAAATGACTGAATGCACCAGTAGGTGAAATGGATGCTTCTGCTTGCAGGGCAGGCTCTAAGATTTGAACAGCGGCATGGCAGAAGCATCGCCACAAGTGCTGATGAGGTGATGGCTTAAAATACTGCAAGCCCCATGCAGAGTGAAAACTCCTTTCACGGGAGGAGATAGACGGCCCAGGAACTGTTGCTCTAGCCTCATTATCTGTGAATGATTGATTCCAGACAGGAATTGAAGATGAGGCAACTGAGAAAAGGAAAAGGGAAACACCCTGTGTGCCTGTTAAATGCCCTTGTTCACCTGGCGAGAGATATGCATATATAGTCTCACCACTGACTATCTTTTTATATATATGGTGTATATATAAAAATATAGAAGTGTACAGTGTATGTGTATATGTGTGTATATATGTGTATATGTCTGTGTATAGACACATATATGCACATACACACATTATGTACATTTATATCTATATAACGGCAATGCCTGAGCTGGCTATTTCCAGGCGGCCAATATCCTGTTTTAAACTGATTTAAAATATTGCCACTGTAAACTAATATCGTGATTTGCAACCACTTAAATTCTGGAAGAATTTCTCAGGACTGTGATGAAAATCCCAGCGTCTGGTGGTTCCCTCATCGCAGCTTAACCCTAATTGCCTACACTAAGTCCAATTAGTGGCAAATCAGATTCCCCTTCATTTCATCTGATGAAGTAAGCTTTGGCAGGAGCATCTGCCCACGCAAAGCAGGGTGAAGACAGAGAGAAGAACGGGGCTGCAGGGAACGGGGACACGAGTGTGGGGACCCAAGGGTGACCACAGTCCTCCTGCCCCTGAGTCCCCACGGCTCCGTGCCTCCGGCTTGCAGATTCCTTTCCCTGGATAGAGTTTTTGCAACTGAGTTTGGTGAGAATCAAATCTATCAGGTACAGTCCTAGAAACAAATAACTTGAAGTCTACTTTAAAGGCAGATTCTCTTGGTCTCTTTCTTTCCTGTGTCTGTACCTCTGTGCATCTCTAACACACACACACACACACACACACACACACACACACACGGCCCTTCTGTAAGCACACTTTCCTCGCTGTCCCAGTCCTCTCAGTGTCCACGCTCCTGCAGGCGCTGACTTGGGTGGCGGTTGCAGAGGAACCAGTAGGACTGGCACGGCCATGGCCATGGAGCATGTGGTCCAGGGCACAGATAGCAGCAGCTCTGGTTCCAAAGGCAGTGCGTCCTGCCAAAGCCTTCTCTCTCTGCATCTCAAGGTCACAATAATAGATTACGAAAGAGTGGAAAAGCACAGCTCAGAAAATGGGCCATGGGGACTTTCCTCTGGGTGAGGAGGGAGAGAACAATGCCCGATGCGGCAGCAGGTCGTTTGAGCTCTGCTAGGGAAGGAAACGCGGAGCGTGAGGTCCCTCCAATGCCCGGCACCTGCAACGCCTCCTGTCCAAGGGCTCTGAAAACACAAAAATTGGGACCATTGGAAAATGATTTTTAAGGTGCTCTGATGTAGAAGAAATTCCATCACAAACATTAACCTGTTTCACAAGAATCAAATATTTACTATTGTGTTTCATGGTGGCTACTTTTTAAGTCCCTTGCAAATTAAGGTAGGACAAATGTTCTCACAAAATAAACATTCTCCTGTCTTCAGAAACCACTGATAAATAGTCCAGGCCGATGGATCCTTGCCTCTCCTCAGAATAAGGGAGGGCTGTTATTTTAAAGCAGCAAATAGAACAGATCCTCAAGTGCCCTGGCGGAACAGAAGGCTGGACTGTTAAAGTCTGTGACACTCTCAGTGATGACGTTGGTTTCTAAGGGCTGCAGCAGCCATACCCAAAGAAAACATTTTATATATGATGATGTAGTAACTATACTTCAAGTCTTGACTTAAAAATGTATAATTCAACAACAAAATTACAATTTCTCTGTAAAAGGAGCACTTTTTAAAAATCCAAGCCACTTACACTGGTTTGAAAATATTTGGGGGGTCTTAACTGCTTCTGAGGCTATAGCAAGTGGTTTCTCATAAAATCAGACCCAAGGGAACTCTCTGAGAGGACCCTAGGCACTTAGATTTTATTCCGGGTATAATTTATTCCAAACAGTTTAGCAAAATGATGGTCACATTATAAGAGCATACTCTGGATGCAAAATGTCCAGGAAAGACAGAAGTAGAGGTGGGGTCCAAGAAACAATTCCAGTCTCCTAGAAACCATGCCTTCTGCTCAAGCCAAGTGCTTCTCCTGATCACGTCCTCCTGGTAACTCCTAGCAGCTGCGAGCATTGGAACATAGTCTTACCAGTTCCGGAGCCACCAGGCACCTTCTCTGAACGTCTGAACTATCAGCCCCTTCCCTCAGAGCAGGCCTGCAGGGACTCAGCAAGGCTGGGTGCTGGAGGGCCACTCTGTAGGTCTGGCCAGAGGGAGACCACACCACCCAAAGAGCCATTCAGCGACCAAGGCTCCCCTGAGCGGTCGCTGCTGGTGACACAGGCCCTTTGCTGGGAGAGCCCAGCCCTACTCAGAACAGAAGGGCTCACTGCTCCAGCCTCCAGCCTTCAATCCCAGCTGCAGCTTTTCAGCTCTAGTTTTCCCTCCAGGTTATCTTCCCTCTGTGGCTTCCAGCGGGTCACCCTGTGATGCTGCAGTTCCCCAGTCTTTGCAAACGGGGGAGAGATGACTACTGACTTCCGCGATGATTCATGCTGGTTGTTTACAGCAGAGACAGAGGCAGTGCGCTGCCTGCACGTCTTGGAATTAGCTGAGCTGTGAGGGTGCAGCGAGGCCAGCACCGGGGTTCCCGGGTATGCCAAAGCTGGAATTGTGCTGCTCCTCTGCAGAGGTGCAGGGGGAGGGGGGAGCAGGGATACAAAACCTTGCCGGTCAAGGAACGCAGTGTTCCTGGCCCTGTCTGGAACCTTCACAAAGCAGGTGGGAAGGGAAAGTGCATGGGTAAGACGGACTTCCCAAAACAGCTTCTGCCAAATGAAATAAAGAATATCCAGTTCCTCCTTTTTAAATAAATAAATATATATATATATATATATATAAAATTATGAAATAATTTAAATACGTAGAAATATGCAGAAATAATAGATCAAAGGCCCAAGTACCCACTCATCAGCTTTAACATTTTGCTGTCTATACTACAGATTTTTTTATTTTCAAAAACAAAAATGTAATCAGTCAAGCAAGCACATGGCAGCTCCTGAAGGGATTTGATGTTGAGCAATCGCAATATCAAATGAGCCCACCTCCAGTTCTCCGCTGAACGGATCAGCTCATAGGTGTTACTTCCCTCACCCTGCCACCCCCGAGTCTCTTCTGTTGCTTGTGGGACACCGTGGCGAGAGCTCCGGAGTCCAGACTCCACTGTGGAGACTGACATGGTTCCCTGAGCTCCCTGCTTGGTCTCCTGTCCTGCCTGGTCTGAAGTCCTGCCTACGAAGACTGATGGCACTGTACCAATGCAGCAGCTTCCAAATCACTGAGCAAGCAGCCCCCAGCTTCCCCTCTCCCCCTGAGCCCACCTTCTCTCCACGCTCCCTTGTCCCAGGCTGTCCATAGGCACCATTTGGCTCCAATTCCACATCATAAGCGTTTCTATGAATATAGGCTTTGTGGAATGTTTATTCATAGGACATTAATCCCAGAGGGGAATAAAAGCAGTGCTGTCCATGACATTATCTGTGTTAGCCTTGGATTGTCTGCTGTAAAATGCTAATTGCAGCCTCTGGAGTTGAGAAGGTGTTTGTAGGAAGCCTGAACAGGGAGCAGGAGGGCAGGCAGAAGAGGCAGCCCAGCCTTCTAGGATGCCAGGGCCCTCAGAGGAGGAGGAAGGCCTGAGGCCAGGCAGCAGGTAGACAAGGCACAGAGCCTGGTTCTGGAGCTGGGCCTGGGAGGAGGCCTTTGTACTGCCCAGAGGAGGGGCCACAGTGTCCCTCCAGCCACCTGCTCACTGGTTTTACCAAAGCTGGTATCCACACATCCCAAGGGTCTCCTCAGAGCCCATGCCGCTGAACAAACCCACGTTTTTTAAAATGAGAGTGACACCAGCCTGCCCATCCTCACAGTGCAGCAGGGTGTGAGTGTGCAGTGGGGAGCAGGGAGCTAAATCCTAATATACGTGATGTATTTTGAGATTCCAAGGAGCTCCTGGATATGCATTCAAGGGTGGCAGTGTTTCAGGAGGGGCAGATGGGTGTGCAGGCAGCCACACCCTTTCCCCTCCCCCTCCCCCTCCCCCAGCAATTTGTTCCTTTTCAAGTTTGAGACACGCAAGTCTTGCATCTGTGTCTCTGGAGCCGCCTACACAAACCAGCGCAGAGATCACAGGGCTGGGACTGGCTGGCGACAGTTCGCTCCCTTAACTCCAGAGGAGGAAATGGAGCCAGAGGTCGTAAAACGATGATAGAATCGAAAACAAGACCATTTCTTTCTGTACCCCACACCCTTTTTACTTTCACAATGCACACACCCACACCCCACATGCACACTCACACCCATGTCCAGGGTGGCTGGACAGAGCCCCTCCCAGTACTGCCATTCATTTTGCATACATGTTTGGCTGGCTAGTGGGCAGGATTATGTCTGAGAAAACCTCCTTTTAATCAATCTGATGCTTGCCAGCCAAGGAGCTGACAACTGTGCAAAGCACTGAGCCATGGGGCAGTGTTCCGTTTTGTCTCCTCTGGGCAGCTGACAAGATGGAGTCCCTCGGAGGTGAGAGGATGGTTTCTAGAAGCACAGGAATTCTCAGTAGTGGATTAAACTGCAATGCAGACCTTCTGCATCCCCAGTGGAGAGTCAGAAGCCTGGGAGGATGCTAAGCATTCCAAGCAAGCAGTCTTCCAGAAAACTGCCAGCTTCCCCACAGCAGCCAGGGTGATGATGGGAAGAGTTGCTGCAGTCCTCGGCTTCAGCTTGTCCAGGAGCCGGCCCAGCACACCCAGCAGACTTCCCAGAGAGCAGGGGCTGGGGGATGGGAGGGGACCCAGTCCCCTCAGACTTCACAACAGATAGCCACCTTACAGAGAGGCCCATGAAATACACTTAAAAGGGAGGAATAAGGAAGGAAGAAAGGGAGGGAGGGAGGGAGGGGGGAAGGAAGGAAGGAAGGAAAGAAGGAATCTGTCAACAGCTAAGCTATGTAAGAAGGCTCATGCTAGGAAGTCTATATTTTTTACAATGATAAGGATGCCAGTTTGTCTGGGACTTTGCTCATCAAACCCTACTCATACCCCCCATAAAATCCCTTGCCTTCTCTATCGCCAGTTCTTAAGGACTTCATTTTTTCACTTAGCCGTTAGCCATTCGTGAACCTTACAAGTTGTGTTCTGAATTCTACCTTAGCTACTAAACCATACCTAAAGATACTGGCTCAGGAGCCAGCTCAGTCTAGTCTTATCCTGACTGTCCTGACACTGGGCCGTGAGCAAGTCTCTCAGCCTGTGGAGGGGAAAGGTGCTTGGAAGTCAGGCAGCCCCGCCTGGCTGCAGACACCACACAGGCTGTGCAATGGTGATATATTGTGATTTAAAATAAGAAATGTGTATTTTGGCCTATGTCTCTGGTTTCTGGAACAGAACTCCTAAAAGAAAGACAAACAAACAAACAAACCAACAAACAAAACTTTGTGATTTCTTGAGCAATAGGAGAACATCTTTTGTTCTAACGTTTGGTCTTTGACATGGTTCTCAACATAGAGCTCCTAAATCCCTTGGAATTTCCTGGGTGATAGGAGTGCTTTTGTTCTAATGAGGCGGCCCTTGGTGTGCTCCTGAGTCAGGGCTGGTCACCAGCAAGACCAAGCTATGATTAGAAGCTTGGAACTTTCAATCCCAACTCTCATCCTTTGGGGAGACTGAGGGGCTGGAGATTGAGTTAATAATTGACCATTCCTACATGATGAAGCCTCCATAAAAATTTCTGAACTCTGGGGCTCGGGGGGCTTCCGGGTTGAGGAATAAGAACACACATGTGTGCCAGAAGGGCGGCACACCTGAGAGGGCATGGAACTTCCTCGCCGCTCCCCCATACCTTGCCTTCCACCTGGCGGTTCCTCAGCTGTATCCTTTTATAATAAATGGGTTAAAGTAAGCAAAGCCTTGCCGTGAGCGCTGTGAGCCATTCTGGCAAATGATTGAACCTGAGAAAGAGGCTGTGGGAGCCTCAGATTTGCAGCCAAGTTGGACAGAAGTTGTTTGTAACCTGGGCCCTACTACCTACAATTGCAAGAAGTAGGGGGCAGTCTTGTGAGACTAAGCCGTTAATCTGTGGGATCTGACACTATCTCCAGGTAGATGGTGTCAGAATTGAATTGTATTGTGGGACACCCAGTTGGTGGCAGAGAACTGGTCAATGTGCCAAAAACCCACACATCTGGTCACAGAAGTGATTTGTGTGGTCAGAGAGAGTACAGAGAAGGAAAAACAGTCAGTTTTTCCTGTCTTACTGATGGTCACCAAGGTTTCACCCCATGGCCTTTGGGGACCTGGGGTTGAAAGAACAACCATCGGGGGTCCTTGAAGCTATCTTCCTGCTAAACATTATCTAAAGCAGTACATCCAATATGGCAGCCACTAGCAACGTGTACCCTTTGAGCACTTGACATGTGGCCATTGGGATGTACTGAAAGTGCAAAAGAAAAAACCACTGGATTTTGAAGATAGTGTAAAAAAATAAGGTAAACTATGTCGATAATTTTTTAGCATTGATTATATGTTGAACTGATAATATTCTGATTTTATTGAGTTAAATGTCATATAGTATAAAATTATATTCACCTTTTTTATTATCATAAAATACAAATATCATAAAATTTACCTTTTCTTTTTTTTGAGACAGAGTCTCGCTCTGTCACCCAGGCTGGAGTGCAGTGCCACACTCTCGGCTCACTACAACCTCTGCCTCCCGGGTTCAAGCGATTCTCCTGCCTCAGCCTCCTGCGTAGCTGGGACTACAGGTACCCACCACCGTGCCTGGTTAATTTTTGCATTTTTAGTAGAGACAGGGTTTCACCATGTTGGCCAGGCTGGTCTCCAACCCCTGACCTCATGATCCACCCTCCTTGGCCTCCCAAAGTACTGGGATTACAGGCGTGAGCCACCGTGCCTGGCCAAAATTTACCATTT
The DNA here is from genome assembly GCF_000001405.40 of Homo sapiens. Classification (NCBI taxonomy): domain Eukaryota; kingdom Metazoa; phylum Chordata; class Mammalia; order Primates; family Hominidae; genus Homo; species Homo sapiens. Next base: position 6,754,608 of record NC_000006.12, read on the forward strand.
TAATCATTTTAAGTGTGCAGTTCAGTAGTGTTAGGTACATCCACATTGTTGTGCTACCATGACCACCATTCATCTCCAGAACTTTTTCATCATCCAGAACTGAAATTCTACGTTCATTAAACAATAACTCTTCATTCTACTTTCTGTCTCTATAAATTTGACTCCTCTAGGTAATTCATGTAAGTGGGATCATAAAGTACTTGTCCTATTGTGACTGGCTTATTTCACTGAACATTGTCTTCATGGTTCCTCCCTGGTGTAGCATGTGTCAGAATGTCCTTTTTTTAAAAAGCTGAATAATATTCCTTTTTCTGTATAGACCACATTTTGTTTATCCATTCATCTGTTGTTAGACACTTGGGTTGCCTCCACTAAGGGTGGTTATTGTGCATAATGCTGCTATGAACACAGTGTGCAGATGTCTGTTTGAGTCCTAGCTTTCATTTCTTTTATTTTATTTTTTATTTTTTTATTTTTGAGACGGAGTCTCGCTCTGTTGCCCAGGCTGGAGTGCAGTGGTGACATCTCGGCTCACCGCAACCTCTGCCTCCCAGGTTCAAACGATTCTCCTGCCTCAGCCTCACAAGTAGCTGGGATTACAGGCGCCTGTCACCATGTCTGGCTAATTTTTGTATTTTTAGTAAAAACTGGATTTCACCATGTTGGCTGGCTGGTCTTGAACTCTTGGCCTTGTGATCTGCCCGCCTCAGCCTCCCAAAGTGCTGGGATTACAGGCATGAGCCACCGCGCGCAGCCCTAGCTTTCATTTCTTTTGGGTATATACCAAAAGCAGCTGCACCATGTTACATTCCCATCGACAGTGCACAAGGGTTCCAATTTCTCCACATCCTCAGCAACACTACTTTCTGTTATTTATTTTTAAGTTTTTCATAGAAACCATTCAGAGAAACCATGGGTATGAAGCAGTATCTCATTACGGTATTTATTTGCATTTTCTTAATGATTAGTGATGGATCGAGCGTCTTTTCATGTGCATAGTGACTATTTGTATATCTTGTATGGAAAACCACCTGTTTCCTTTTACTTTTTTTTTTTAATGTGGCTACTAGAAAATTTAAAGTTACATGTATGGCTCACAATGTATTTCTACTAGACAGCTCTAGTCTAGAGCAAATAAAGGTACAGCTCCTACCATACGGACTGTTTTAGCAATGGAAGGAATCCTGTTATTTAGAATGTGGCAAATGCAGTTCCAATTAATTATCTCTGAGTTTCTTTCCAGGAATAATATTTTATGGTCTCTTTCTCTCTCTGCTCTAAGGACTTAACCTACTGCTTTCATGTCAAAGGAGAAGAAAGGAATCATTCCCCCATACAACGTGGAAGACCCAAAGGTTCAGGGGATCCCTCATCTCTGTAGAGTGGACTGGCTCTTCTGACTGGGGGGTGTCTTGGCTTCAGAGCTCACCACTGTCCTGTACCTGGGGGAAGAGGCATCCATGCATATAAATTAGGCTGATAAAAGTTTGCACCTTCTGAGGTTCCAAGGGAGGGACGAGATACCATCAGAATCAAGTCCCTCAGGCTGGGCACAGTGGCTCACGCCTGTAATCTCAGCCCTTTGGGAGGCCGAGGCGGGCGGAGCACCTGAGGCCAGGAGTTCGAGACTAGCCTGGCCAACATGATGAAACCCCATCTCTACTAAAAATACAAGAACTAGCCGGGTGTGTTGGGTGGGCACCTGTAATCCCAGCTACTTGGGAGGCTGAGGTGGGAAAATCACTTGATCTGGGAGGCAGAAGTTGCAATGAGCCAAGATCATACCACTGCACTCCAGCCTGGGCGACAAGAGCGAAACTCCATCTAAAAAAAAAAAAAAAAAATTTAGTCCCTTGGTCTTGGGGTGGAGACTGCAAGTTTGTTCTGCTAAGATAAATGCATTTCTTGATTCTACAAGCCATCCCACCCACAGAGGCTGCTCCTAACAGAGGCTGCTCCTAACGGATTCCTGGGAATCTCATGCTACATTTAGTAGAAGAAAGCTGTCATCATTTTCCACCATTGAACAGTTATAAGAATGGGGTAGGCTCCAAAGTTACTTTTCATACGTTTTCTTATTTCCTCTGAGGAAACAGCATCACCAGCCCAGATTTCCTTCCTTTTATCTTATTTAAAATCTCGCAAAGGCATGACCCACCATCAGGATTGAGCTTGGCACTTACAGAAAACCCACAAATGCTGTGACCTAGAACTTAATTTCAAAGGTAGAAAGAAGAAAAAGAAGAAATTTTGTGGAAAAAGCAAGAACTATCATGATGTCTGTCACTTTTTCTTTCTTTTTTCTTTTTTTTTTTTTTTTTTTGAGACAGAGTTTTGTTCTTATAGCCCAGGCTGAAGTACAATGGCATGGTCTCTGCTCACTGCAACCTCTGCCTCCCAGGCTGGAGGGATTCTCCTGCCTCAGCCTCCTAAGTAGCTGGACTACAGGCGCGCCACCACACCTGGCTAATTTTTTGTATTTTTAGTAGAGACGGGGTTTCACCATGTTGGCCAGGCTGATCTCGAACTCCTGACCTCAAGTGATCCCCCGGCCTTGGCCTCTTGAAGTGCTGGGATTACAGGTATGAGCCACCACGCCTGGCTGTCACTTTTTCTTTCTAAGAGGAATACATTTGCAGCAGACCAGCCTTTGCAATAGCTGTTAATGTGGCTTGAAAGGAAAATGAGGACAATATTTTAATGTCAGATAACAAAGTGGAAACCAGGCAACACTATGATCTGGTCACCTATATGAAAAGATAATGAAAGAGTAATACGAGGTAGAATATATTTGAATGTATTGAAGGAAAATGCTCTGTAAACATAGGCTTTATAGTTTATGTGTAAAATATAGCTTATAGAAATGTTATTTGCTGGCCAGGCGCAGTGGCTCACGCCTGTATTCCCAGCACTTTGGGATGCCAAGGCAGGAGGATGACCTGAGGTCAGAAGTTCGAGACCAGCCTGGGTAACATGATGAAACCCTGTCTCTACTAAAAATACAAAAAATTAGCCAGGTGAGGAGGTGGGCTCCTGTAATCCCACCTACTCGGGAGGCTGAGACAGGAGAATCACTTGAACCTGGGAGGCGGAGGTTGCAGTGAGCCAAGATCGTGCCACTGCACTCCTGCCTGGGTGACAGAGTGAGACTCTGTCTCAAAAAAAAAAAAAAGAAAGAAAAGAAAAAAATGTTCTTTGCTATCTAGATTCATATAAATACAGGGGACTTGATATCTTGGAAATAATAGTAACTCATGCCTTGATAAATCCTTTTATACCCTAAATTTTTGACCCTGTAGTAGAATCATCTAATTTCTCTGTAAAAGAACCATCGAATTTCCCTATAATAGAATCATCTAATCTCCCTAATGTCAGTGTCCTCATCTGAAGAATTAAAGATATAATTTGCCCTACAAGATTTGGGGGATTTTTGTAAGAACCTATTGAAATAATAGATGTATGAACATTCTAAAAAGTTACAAGTGAAATAAAAATGATTTTATAAGAGTAGTTCATTATACTAGATTTCCTATCACACTGACTAACACTGATATTCATGGAAAGAAATGAGAACCTGTACCAGCACTGTTGAAGACTGAAACAATATGGGATTTCCATCCATCCCACCAATTTACTTGGATCATCTTTTTAGGAGGCTTACAGGGAAGTTGTGCATCATATAGTTTATATTTAATATACAGAAACTTTTCTTTAAGGCAACCTGAGGCTGGGCGCGGTGAGTCACACCTGAAATCTTAGGACTTTTGGAAGGCCAGGGCAGGCAGATTGCTTGTGCAGGAGTTTGAGACCAGCCTGGGCAACAGAGCAAAACCTCATCTGTACAAAAAATACAAAAATTAGCCAGGTGTGGTGTGGTATGCGCCTGTAGTCGCAGCTAATAGGGAGGCTGAGGTGGGAGAATCACCTGAGCTCAGGGAGGTTGAGGCTGCAGTGAGCTGTGATTGCACCACTGCACTCCAGCCTGTGTGACAGAGTGAGACCCTGTTTCTAAAAAATAAAGAGACCTGAGTGAGGGTGGGAGAGAGTTAACCAAAGAAAACTGAAAATAATACTAGAACCTTCGCTATTATGGGCAGAAAGTTTCCTGCAAGCAGCAGCCAAGTTCCCAGAGAGGAAAACAGTGTGTGTCTGTGTGTGTTTAGCTTCATAATCACAGAACGCTTAGGTACTATGTTCTTTTCTCCAATCTTCCTTCTTTCCAAAAAAAAAGAAAAAGAAAACGAATATGGATGCAAGCAGCAGAGGTCTCAGAAATCTTCAGGCAGTTCTGCCTGAATTGCTAAAGCAGGGAGTAGCTGAGGGCCTTGCAGCCCATTCCTCTAGTACCTGTGGCATCTGGGGCCTGCAGCAGGTGTGGCGGTGACGCGGGTTGTTTGTTTTCCAGGGTCAGGTTGGCCCATTTCTAGCCCAGGGCTCTGGGTAAATGTTTAGATTTCATTTTCTGTCTGGTGTTCAACTCCTGGGCGTCAAAGGCAGGCCCCCTGCATGCTGCTGCCCTCCCACGTCCTTTGTCTCCTCCCCGGGGCTGGTGGGAACACTAGAGGTGAGAGGAAAGGGGAGGGGAGGGAGTGGACGCTTTGCCGAGATTCCAGCTCTCCTCAAGAGCCGCTTTCCAGGCACAGCATCCTCCTCTCCCTCGCCCTCTCTAAGGAGGGCTAGCAACGCCCCAGTACTGGGAATGGGGCTTGTTTACACAGCTCATTATTCTCGCTTTGCAGTTGCTATAGCAACCACCAGGGGTCAGTTTCTAGAAGGAGAGGAAGTTCCCTTTTGGGGAGTTAGCCTTCCAGCCCCTGTGCAAAGCGCAGCTGAAAACAAAAGCCGTAGACACCCATGAAGGAAACACATGGAAAAGCTTCCTATGACCGTAAGCATCCTTTAGGGCAAAAACCACTCAGAGACGCCACGTCTCTCCCTTGCTGAGAGTCTCCAGCACAGCTGACGGCAGAATGAAGGTCTGACCCCCGCACGGGCCAGGCTTTCCTCTCGCCCCACCCGATCCTCTCACCCCTTTGCCCTGTCTTAACGGCCTGAAGACATTCGTTGGTAGTTAAGATGACAAGGGCGGCTACCTGGGTTCATTTAAAGTGATAAGTTTCATTAATATTCTGTATTAACTGAGGACCAGGAAGATCTCTGTGAACTGGTACGATTCCCATCTTCTTCCTGAAGGGAGACGCAGCACCGCATCAGAGCAGCGCGCCCATCTCAAGATCCACACCCACGAGAGAAGAGCCGCGCTGCTTCTGTAGAGCTTGCTGGGAAGACCCCCCCAGGACGCCTGGCCAGTAAAGAGTGGCCAGCACTAACCTGCTTAGCTAACTTGATTTAGCAAACAAAAAATACAGATGCCTAGTTAAGTCTAACCTTCACAAAAACAAGGAATTTTTGTGTAAGTCTTCCACGTAGCATCTGGGCCATATATACAGTAAGTCTGTGTAATCCACCATAAGCCAGTCCTTGCCCTCCTCCTCACTGCTCATCATCGCCTCCAAAAACGTATAGCAGATTGTATAGCAGATGTATAAGTTCTCTCTTACAAGCAAATAAAGTGCCAGCTTACTGTTCAGGATGATCTAACCCTTGGACTAGCAGGCTGATCATGAAAAAAATGAAAGGGACTGATTTACATATATGCAAATCAGAGGCCAGGCTAGCCAGACATGTGAGTTCACTAATTTTCCCTCAGATATAAACACCAGCATGAGTTACTTGATTGGTAAACAGAACTCATTTTGTGAATTATCTAAAATCAGTAAAGGGTAATGATTTCTATTTGTTTGAAAGGAAAAACATTTGTACTGTATATGTTTAAAGGAATAGACCAAATTTGTTTCAGTGCTACACACGTACATGGAAGAAAGTCATATTTGCATTTATCAAAGTCACACTCTTCCCAGCATTTCTTTTGCTAAGGTTTTACTTCTTCACCAAGAAGGGTGGCTCAGTGAAAGTTTTACTGAATTTTGTGGCAATTCTGGAAAACCTAGACCGTTGTAATCCTGTGTTGACCCTAAATCCACGAACCCAAAACTTAAGGCAAAAAAAGTTAAGCATAAACTTTTATGAAAATAGCAGCTGTAATATATTCCATCAGGTCCCCACCAACTCAGACTGCAGACTCCCACAAGCTCTAATCCAAAACAGGTAATTAAAACTGTGAAGCCAAACATCAATAAAAATGTTCTCACCTGTTGCTAACTCTAAAAATCTCAATATAGATTTCAGAGAGAAAAAGTGTTGGTTTTAGAAGCTGATCCTTCTAAAGCCCAGAACACTGAGTTCTAATTTTGTCTCTTCAGTGTCTGATTGTGACCTCTGTGGAAGTCTGTAGAGAGTTCTGACTTGGTCTCCCCGTGGGCAAAATGCAGTTACTGAATTTTATGTGTTCTTCACCTAACCGAAAGTGTGTAAGAATGTCTATACTTAACACTGTGAGCGCTTCAGACAAAAGGAAGTACAAATGTGATTTCTGCTCTTCACCTTTTAAGCAACTTTAGAAGTTGGAATCAGTTGGTTTAAAGCACTTAGAAATAACTTCATTTTGGAAACCCTATTTTCATTTATTTAAACCAATAGTCCCATAGTCCTTTCTTAATCGTCAATAAACCCCTACGTTTGAAGCTCAAGCGGTCTGATAGTATCTCTAACACCATTCAACAGCTATTAGATGGGATAATCACCTGTTTATCCTCATGTCACTAATTCAAACGCTAATTGCACTCTAGACTTGGTTTATTCCCTTACTGAAGCCAGACCAGGTGTGCAAGACCCTAGAAGTATGCTGCGGTGTCATGGAACTCCAGTTTCCAGTAGTACAGACAGAACACACGCACCCTTGCACAAAAATCAGCATGTCGCCCACAACTGTGAAAAATTAGTAATTACCTAAGTGACAGATCACAGGGAAGTAAACCAAAGGAAACCAGAGCACGTATCATGCAATTAAAACATTTGTGTATACAGTTAAACACGAAAAAAACAACCATATTGAGTTAAACATAAAACTGTCTGGAATTGGTGGGTTCTTAGTCTGACTTCAAAAAGGAAGCCTCAGACCCTCGCGGTAGTAACAGTTCTTAAAAGTGGCGTATCCGGAGTTTTGTTTCATTATTACGTTTGGGTGTGTTCCGAGTTTTTCTTCTAGGTGGGTTTAGTGGTCTTGATACCTCAGCAATGAAGTTACGGACCTTCGCGGTAACTATTACAGCTCTTAAAGTGGTGCGTTTGGAGCTTTTTCCTCCCACCAAGGCTCAACAGCTTATATTAGCTTCGAAAGTAAAGCTACAAACCTTCGCAGGGAGTGTCATAGCTCACAAAGGCAATATAGTCCCACATAGCAAAACAACAAAACTCCCACAAAGCGCGAGACGACCCGATACACGTTCCCACTAACCAGCTGGGGGCAGCCTGCTTTTATTCTCTTATCTGGCCCCACCCACATCCTGCTGATTGGTCCATTTTACAGAGAGCCGAGTGGTCTGTTTTGACAGAGTGCTGATTGGTGCGTTTACAATCCCTAAGCTAGACGCAAAGGTTCTCCACATCCCCACTAGATTAACTAGATACAGAGTGTGGACACAAAGGTTCTCCAAGTCCCCACCAGAGTAGCTAGATACAGAGTGTTGATTGGTGCATTCACAAACCCTGAGCTAGACACAGGGTGCTGATTGGTGTGTTTACAAACCTTGAGCTAGAGACAGAGTGCTGATTGGTGATTTACAATCCCTTAGCTAGACGTAAAGGTTCTCCAAGTTCCCACTAGACTCAGGAGCCCAGCTGGCTTTACCCAGTGGATCTCGCACTGGGGCTGCAGGTGGAGCTGCCTGTCAGTTCCCTGGCGTGTGCCCACACTTCTCAGCTCTTGGGTGGTTGATGGGACTGGGCGCCGTGGAGCAGGGGGTGGCACTCGTTGGGGGAGGCGGGGGCTGCACAGGAGCCTATGGAGGCGGGGGAAGGCTCAGGCATGGCGGGCTGCAGTCCCGAGCCCTGCCCCGTGGGAAGGCAGCTAAGGCCCAGCGAGAAATCAAGGGCAGCGCTGGTGGGCCGGCACTGCTTGGGGACCCAGCACACCCACCGCAGCCGCTGGCCCAGGTGCTAAGCTCCTCACTGTCGGGGGCGGCAGCGCTGGCCGGCTGCTCCAAGTGCGGGGCCCGCCAAACCCACGCCCACCCGGAACTCTAGCTGGCTCTCAAACGCCGCGCGCAGCCCCGGTTCCCGCTCGCGCCTCTCCCTCCACACCTCCCTGCAAGCTGAGGGAGCCAGCTCCAGCCTTGGCCAGCCCAGAAAGGGGCTCCCAAAGTGCAGCGGTGGGCTGACGGGCTCCTTAAGTGCTGCCAAAGTGGGAGCCCAGGCAGAGGAGGCGCCGAGAGGGAGCGAGGGCTGTGAGGACTGCCAGCACGCTGTCACCTCTCAAAACTTATGTAAACAATATGGGAAAATATTTTGCACAGAAAAAGAAAAAATATGCTGGGAACTAAAATAAATCAATTTTTAAAGTACTGATTAAAAGCAAAGACAATCGTAGGAGTCAGGGATACATCAGAAGTTCCTGCTTTTTACATTCTGGAAGAGAAAAACAAAACACAAGTACAGAACTCATCAATAAGATATATTTGTAGAGTGATGATCTTAAGAAAATTTACAAAGGGCTATGGGGAAAGGGTCTGCTTTAGTTTGGGTGTTGAGGGAAGAACTCTCACAGAAAATGCGAACAATGAGAAGCCCCAAGATAGGAGTGGGCTTGGCATGGTGGAGGAATGGGCACAGGTTGGAGTGCAGTGAGCAGGGAGAGTGTGGTAGAAGGTGTGTTTGGAGAGGCCCCGGGAAGAAGCAAGGGACAGGTGCAAGGGTGGAGGGAGAGACCAGAGTACCCCGCTAGGGCCAGATGTGCAGGATAGAGCATGGGCTAGGGTGGCAACCATGGAGATGGATTCAGGTAATTTTTTGAGGGTAGAACTGGCATGAATTGCTGATGAACCAGATTTGGGGTGGAGGAGAGATGGGAATACTGAATCAAAAGAGAAGAATCTCTTATGACTCCTAGATTTTTGGCCTCAACAACTGTATCGTAGTTCCACTCATCAAGCTGAAAAGGACTCGTGTAGGAACAGGTTTGTGGTGGAATTTTTTATTATTATACTTTAAGTTCCAGGGTACATGTGCACAACGTGCAGGTTTGATACATAGGTATACATGTGCCATGTTGGTTTGCTACACCCATCAACTCATCATTTACATTAGGTATTTCTTCTAATGCTATCCCTCCACCAGCCCCCAACTCCCCGACAAGCCCCGGTGTGTGATGTTCCCCGCCCTGTGTCCAAGTGATCTCATTGTTCAATTCCCATCTATGAGTGAGAACATGCAGTGTGTGGTGGAAAATTAAGAGTTCTGTTTAGACAATTTTATGTTTGAAATGCCTGTTAGATATCCCAGTGAGGATGTCAAGTAAGGAGTCAAGAGGCTCTGAAGTCTGCCTGTCAGGGAAGCATCAGGGCTGGAAATATTTTGGAAGTCACTTGCATGTTGATGGCTTTTAAAGCAAGATACAGTATGGAACAATGTAGACAGACTACACAGAGAAGAAAGGCATCCCACAGCAGAACTAGAGACTGGGCTCAGGAGAAAGAGCCAGTAAAGAAATGACAGCAGGCACAGTGGCTCACACCTGTAATCTCAGTGCTTTGGGAGGCCGAGGCATGAGGATCACTAGAGACCAGGAGTTGAACACCACCCTGGGCAAGATCCTGTCTCTACACAAAATCTTTTTTTAACTAGCTGGGCATGATGGCATGTGCCTGGAATTCTAGCTAATTGAGAGGCTAAGGTGGGAGAATCATTCGAGCCCAGATGGTTGAGGCTGCAGTGAGCCAAGATCACACCACTGAACTCCAACCTGGATGACAGAATGAGAAGCTGTCCCTAAAAGAAGAAAGAGAAAGATAGAGAAAAAGGAAGGGAGGGAGGAAGGAAGAAAGAAAGAAAGAAAGATAGTGAATTAGAAGGAAAGCTAGGCGAGTATGGCATGCCAAAACCAAGAGAAAAAATTTAAGACAAAAGAAAACAGTAATGGTATGAAATGCTGCTGAAAGTTTGAGAAATAGTGAGAAGTTACTATGGTTTGGATAATTGTCCCCTCCAAACCTCATGCTGAAACTTATCCCCAATATTGGAGGTGTGGCCTAGTGGGAAGTGTTTGGGTCTTGGTGTGAACCTCTAATTAATGCCCCCCTTGGGGTGAGGGAGTTCTCATTCTATTCGTTCCAGAGAGAGCTGGCTGTTGGAAAGAGCCTGGCACCTCCCCCATTCTTGCTTCCTCATGTGCCATGTGATCTCTGCACATTCCCCTCCCATTCACCTTCCGCCATGAGCCTGATGCCCACAGCTGATGCCCAATCTTGAACTTTTCCAGCTCTTAGAATTGTGAGCCAAATAAACCTTCTTTCTTTATAAATTACTCAGCCTCAGATATTCCTTTATAGCAACACAAAACAGACTAAGACAGAAGCTTCCTCTGGTTTTGGCAACACGGTGACCCTTACAAGATCAGGTTCAGTGGAGTGGTAAGAGTGAGAAGAATGGGAGGGGAGGCAGTGGGTTCAGTGACCATAGATGACACACATGAGTGACCCTTGGAGCAGATCAGAGAAACAGGCCAGAGCTAGAGCTGTGCCAGCTGGGTCAAGGGAGAATTATTTTAGGGAATGATTTCAGAGCACACTTGAATATTGGTAAGAATGATCTAGTAGAAAGGATAAAAGAGATGGTGGAGGAAAGAGAGAAAAAGAAGAGAGATTACTGAAAAGCAAGCAGGATGGAATCCAGAGAAGGTAGGATTTGGCCTTGATAGAAGCAGGGAAATTTCATCCATCATAGCAGGAGAAAAGACCAGAAAGAACTGGCATAGATGTGGGTAGACCAGGAGATCTGGAGGGAACAAGGGAAGGGGGTTCCTTTCTGATTGTTTCCATTTTCTTGATGCATCCTAAAACAACATTGATAAGGTTTGTGTCTGTGCCCCTACAAAATCTCATGTTGAGTTCTAATTCCCAATGTTGGAGGTGGGGCCTGGTGGGAGGTGTTTGGGTTATGCGGGCAGATCCCTCATGGCATGGCGCGATCCTCACAATAGTGAATGAGTTCTCCCAAGATCTGGTTGTTGTACAGTGTGACACCTCCCACCCCAACTCTCTCTCTTGCTCTGGCTCCTGCCGTGTGAGACACCTGCTCCCCCTTCACCTTCTGCCATGATTGGAGGCTCCCTGAGGCCCTTAACAGGAGCCAAGCCAAGGACCAAACGCAGCTGTGTTCCAATAAAACTTTATTTATAGGCTGGGCACGGTGGCTCACGCCTGTAATCCCAGCACTTTGGGAGGCCGAGGCGGGCGGATCACGAGGTCAGGAGTTCGAGACCAGCCTGGCCAGCATGGTGAAACCCTGTTTCTACTAAAAATACAAATAGCCGGGCATGCTTGAACCTGGCAGGCAGAGTTTGCGGTGAGCCAAGATCGCACCGCTGCACTCCAGCCTGAGAGAGAGAGCGAGACTCCATCTCAAAAAAATAAAATAAAAAAATTTTAAAAAACTTTGTTTATAAACGCTAAAATTTGAATTTCAGATAATTTCTATCTTCATAAAATATTCTTCTTTTGATTTTTTTCCAACCATTTAAAAGTAAGAAAACTGTTCTTAGTTCATGGGCCTTATACACACAGGTGGCCCACAGGCTGTAATTTGCTGACCTTTGTGTTAGAGGAAAACATGCGGTTCTTTTTCGTGACAGACTGGGAAGTGAGTGAAGCCTTTGGCCAGGGCATACCTCTCTTGGACAGCGTGAGGTGGTGCGGCCATCCAGGTGCAGGGTCTTCTGAGCCATGTCAGAAACAGTTAGGGCTTCTTGCCTCCTGCTAGCAGAGATTTATTTCTCCTTTCAACTTGTATTTTCCAACTTTTCTTTAAAAACCCTGTATTAATTCCGGCATTTAAAGGTTCTGCGTATCTTGCAGCAGAGAGAAACAATTAGTCCTGTACAAGTGACCATCTGCACCTCCAGTGCTGACTCAGGAGTTGACAAGAACCCAAGCCTCACTGAGGTTTGAGTGCCAGCTTTGCAACCTTAGCTGTCTTCAGGTTGTGAAGTTCATTCCAGTCATACTGAAATTTCAAGACAGTTAATCTATAACTATTTTGGATTAGGAAATATTATAGGCATATTTTACTAATTGAATTGAGAATACCAACATGAAAAATTCTTTTTAACATTCTAATTTACTCTCAGATTTTTTTAAAACTACTAAATTATTTTTAAATCCTGTGTATCTTCATGTGTAAGAGAGAATATGAAAATAGTTTTAAATAAATTGATAGAACCGAAAACTAGGGAAAATTCAGACAGAGAAAGCATGGAGAATATAATTTCCTGTTAAGAACAAAGGAGGTGATAACAAAGGTAATTTAATTATAAGACCAAGATGAATTTAACATAATGTTCAAATGTTCATCGATCACTCATTCCAAGAATTTTAAAAGAAAATTTTAAATAAATAATTTTTTTTGGAGGGGGGGATGGAGTCTCACTCTGTCTTCCAGGCTGGAGTGCAGTGGCACGATCTTTGCTTACTGCAACCTCCACCTCCCGGGTTCAAGTAATTCTCCTGCCTCAGCCTCCCAAGTAGCTGAAATTACAGGCACTCACCAACCACCATACCCAGCTGATTTTTGTATTTTTTTAAGTAGAGACGGGGTTTCACCATGTTGGCCAGGCTGGTCTTGAACTCCTGACCTCAAGTGACCCACCCACCTTGGCCTCCCTGCTGGGATTACAGGCATGAGCCACCACACCCGGCCAATAAATTAATTTTTTTAACCAGTGTAAACTCTCTAATTTTTTAAAAGATAGAATACTGTTGTTTTTTTTCAGGCACATTTCCATGTTTTACTTTCCAGATCTGCCCCCATAAACCAAACACCCCCTACCAGGCCCTCCCACCCACCTCCAACATTGGGAATTACAATTCGACATGAGATTTGGTAGGGACACAGGCATGGAACATATCATTGTTGTTTTAGGATGCATCAAGAAAATGGAAACAATTAGAAACAATCAGAAAGGAACCCCTTTCCCTTGTTCCTTCCAGATAAATCATTAGAGTGGCACAGTATTTTTTTTTTTTTTTTTCTGAGATGAAGTTTCGCTCTCGTCGCCCAGGCTGGAGTGCAAAGGCTCGATCTCCGCTCACTGCAACTTGTGCCTCCTGGGTTCAAGCAATTCTCCTGCCTTAGCCTCCCGAGTAGCTGAGATTACAGGCATGTGCCCCCATGCCTAGCTAATTTTGTATTTTTGGTAGAGATGGGGTTTCACCACGTTGGCCAGGCTGGTCTCGAACTCCCGGACATCAGGTGATCCACCCGACTCGGCCTCCCAAAGTGCTGGGATTACAGGCATGAGCTACCGTGCCCAGCCAGTATTTTTAAAAATTCACTTTAAAATGGACATATCTGGGTTATACTTATTTCAGGGAGTTACAGACCTACCTACAGGGTGTATGTTTCAATCAAACGTCTCTAGCACATCCACCTCTATTCATAGCTTTGCCAAGGGTTGTGGAGTACCAAAAGCACAAATTTTGCCAAAGGCCATCTAGGGCATCACTCATGGTCACTTGCTGGTTGTGTGACTTGGGCAAGCTATTTACCTTTCTGAGCCTCGGATTTATTCCTACAACAAGGAAAATATGATACTTAGCACTTGGAATTGCCAGGGGATTAAAAATGATAACATATAAAAGCTCCTAGAGAGTCCCTGGGAGACAGGTAAACTCTTACCAGGTGTCGGGACTCTTGTCTTAGTTCCCAAGCTAAATGTAGCCAGCACTCTAAGAGCCTCTGTACACTGACGCAAAAGGGACAAAGCAGAGTGCTTGGCACATAGTCAGTGCTCAACACACATTTGGAGGCTGATGAGTTAATTAACTGGCTAATTAATTAATGTAACCAAGGGCCTTCCATAAAAGAACAACAAAATCACAATGATTTATTTCTATGGATGTTTTACAGTCTCTCCAATGAGTGAGTCATGTCTAGAGGGCCACTATTACACAAGGAGGGATGGAAGCTAAACAGGACCACGTTGTGAGCTGAGGGCATGGATGTTTCTCTCTTCATTTTCAACCAATTTGTTCTTTCGTCCAACGTGCTTTCAGTCAGTGCTCTAGACTTGTTTATTGGCTCCCAGCCGACGTCTCTAAGAAGGGTAGGTAGTCCTGGCCAGGCATGGTGGCTCAAGCCTGTAATCCCATCACTTTGGGAGGCCGAGGCAGGTGGATCATGAGGTCAGGAGATCAAGACCATCCTGGCCAACATGGTGAAACCCTGTCTCTACTAAAATACAAAAAAATTAGTTGGGCATGATGGTGCGTGCCTGTAGTCCCAGCTACTCGGGAGGCTGAGGCAGGGGAATCCCTTGAACCCGGGAGGCAGAGGTTGTAGTGAGCGCCACTGCACTCCAGCCTGGCAACAGAGGGAGACTCCCTCTCAAAAAAAAAAAATAAATAAATAAAAAATAAAGGGAGAAGGGTAGGTAGTCCTACACGCCACAGGGCTCCCACCACCATCCTCCTACCTTTCCTACCTTCCTTCCACTGCCATCCACCCAGGGTATTAGATGACTTGGATTGGGCAATGAGTTCCAAAGCTTGTCAATGAGATGCTCAAAGTTTCAAACCGAGGTATGCAGACACCACTGGCAGATGCAATGAACTCGATAGTCAATAAAGGTAGCATTGGAAAATCAAGCTTGGTGGCATTATTGAGCTATATTCAAAGTGAGTAAACAAAGGAAGTCAGTTGAGAGAAAAAACAAGAGCAGATGTGTAAGGAAAAGCAAAAATGAGAGGCCATGTAGCCTGCGAGAGGCCACTGGAAAGGATAGCTGCCATGGCATCCAGGAGGTGAGGGTCCTGCTCTTGGCTCTTGGGCTCCAGAGGCCCTAAGCACTCATGCCTGCTGAGTGTCCTCTCAATTGGCCAGTGACATTAATCTGTGATACTGTTGGCTGGGTCAACAGGACAGTCTGTAGTGTGAAATGGAAAATTCTCTGCAACCTCATCTGGCCCATTGGAAGCCTTGCCATTAACTATCTAAGGTACACTATCAGGCAACAAGGTGGGAGAGCACAAGTAGGTTCAACTCTCCAGATCCTTATTCCCAACTCCTTCCACCTGTCTTACCATAAGGTAAAAGCTCAAACCTCAAGGTAGTCTACAAAATGCAGCTAGAATTGTGGGCTTTCCTGACTTTTAAACTAGCTGCTTCCATGTGTGTGTGTGTGTGTGTGTTGCACACTCACAGCTGAATTGTAATTTATTCTCATTTGATTTCTTGGTGTCAGTCTGTAGAACCCCAAACCTGAATCATGGTGCCTATGCTATCCTTTTCTCACAACTCACCCTCTCTGTGTGAATTTGATTTTCAAATCCACTAGTGTTTTGAAATGTCTGAATTATTCATTCAGAGAAGCAATGCACCATGCACCAGACACCAAATTACTTTCTATGATACTTAGTCAAAGAAAAGGCCCCCTTTAAAAACACTTAATCTTAAATCTATCTAGTCTCAAGGAAGGAAAGTAAGTTCATATTCAAAATCTGTCAAGTCCTAAGTTGCCCTGGGGAAGTAAAAGCAAATTACAAAAACTGTTCCAGGGATTTGTCCACACTTGTTCATAGCTGCATTATTCACAATAGTCCAAAGTGGAAGCAAACCAAGTTTTTCTCAACAGGTGAATGGATGAGCAAAATGTGATCTATCCACACGATGGAATATTACTCAGCCTTAAACAGGAAGAGAATTCTAACACATACTAGAACATGGATGAACCTTGAAGAAATTACACTCAGTGCAATAAGCCAATAAGTATTTGTCACAAAACGACAAATACTGTATGATTCCACTCATATAAGGTTCCTAGAGGAGCCAAATTCAGAAACAGAAGGTAGGATGGGTGTTGCCAGGGGTTGAGGGAAGGGGCAACTGAGAGTTATTGTTTGATGGGTACAGAGCTTCAGTTTGGGAAGATGAAAAAGCTCTGGAGACGGATGGTGGTGCTCGTTGCACAACAGCATGAATGTACTTAACGCTGCTGAACTATATGCTGGAAAATGGTTAAGATGTTAAATTTTATATTGTATGGAAGCATTACAAAAAGTATCCTGTAAAATCCTTTCTACCTGCCCACATACGTCTTCATGATAAGAGGCTTTTTTTTTTTTTAAGTTTACTTTTAAAGAATGGAACTCAGATAAGAAAAGACCATTTGGGCAGGGCGCGGTGGCTCACGCCTGTAATCCTAGCACTTTGGGAGGCTGAGGTTGGGGGGTCACCTGAGGTCAGGGGTTTCAGACCAGCCTAGCCAACATGGTGAAACCCCGTCTCTACTAAAAATACAAAAATTAGCTGGGCATGGTGGCACATGCCTGTGATCCCAGCTACTCAGGAGGCTGAGGCAGGAGAATCGCTTGAACCCAGGTGACGGAGTTTGCAGTGAGCTGACATCGTGTCATTGCACTCCAGCCTGGGTGACAGAGTGAGTCTCCATCTCAAAAAAGAAGAAGAAGAAGGAGAAGGAGAAGAAGGGGAGGAGGAGGAAGAGGAGGAGGAAGAAGAAGGAGAAGGAGGAAGGGAGGGAGGAAGAGGAGGAGGAAGAAGAAGGAGAAGGAGGAAGGGAGGGAGGAAGAGGAGGAGGAAGAAGAAGGAGAAGGAGGAAGGGAGGGAGGAAGAGGAGGAGGAAGAAGAGGAAGAGGAGGAGGAGGAAAAGGAAGAAGAAGAAGGAGGAGGAAGAGAAAGAGGAGGAGGAGGAGGAGAGACCATTTGGGAAAGGTACAGGACCACCCCATTTGCTTCTCTGGACATAGAATACCAGCCAAGGAAAAGTTAGCACCAAAACAGGGTCAATTGATTTTGTTCCTTAAATTTGATGTCCCTCCTCATCCAACTCCTCTGCTCTCCACCCAGCACAGGCAGAGGTGACCAGTTCTTGCCCCAGGGCCTGTGCTGATGTCTGGCAGGACTCTGGAAGGAGCTTCCTCCTCCCCTTGGAGAGCATTGCCCAATGGCAGGTGGAATGAAAGGAGTTTTGTCTGAGATGTGTAGAGTAAAATCCTAGTCACATGCACAAAAATTTTCATGAATAAAGAGCTTTCATCAGAATACATTTGGATTTTGAAACAGAAAGTTGAAAGGTCTCACCACGTTTCTCAATGCAAAATTTGAAAGTGTGCTTAAAAGTCTTCCTTGTTGCTGTTGCCATTACTTAAATATGTTTATTTCACTCTGCTATTGCTAGAGATGGATAATACCTCTGAATGTGTAAGATTTCTAAATGAGCATGCTTCTTTTGTAACCTAAATCTCCCCAGGTTTTACAGCCATATGGCGCTCCTCTTCCTTTAATAGTCAATTAAATATATGCACGCTATAATCTCACAGGACGGCACAGAGACCAGCAGTCCCAATATTAACCATCCAGGGAGGGTCTGGTCCAGGCAGTTTTTTGCGTTGCCTCTTGCTACAACACCTGACTCCAGCTTGGTGCTGGAGAGCCTTAGGCCTCTGCCCTCTCTTCATAATAACCTGGTGCAAACAAAGCACCTCTCTTCCCACCAGATTCCCCAAGATGATGTGGCATTATGCATGATGGCCAATGCATGAGTACAGGGAGAAACTCGAAATAGAATATCAGACCTCTAGTTCCTAGAAATCATTGCCAATTTCTTGGCACTGGGTCCAGGCCTCTTATCAGATTGCTGGGGTCCTCACCTCTCTCAAGTACTGTTGCCCTATACCTTCTTCCCTCTGGAGGCCCCAGCCCCTTCTCTTTAGGGCTGCCAGAGGGGAATCACAGAATTCTCCTTCTTTTGTGCTGAGCCATATACCTTGCTAGGCTTCAATCTCTTCATTCACATTATGTTTTAAGCCCATTAATGTATTTTCCTGATAAAAGAGACATTTGCCTTGGTTTTTCACCATAAGCAACCAAAGACAAAAGCAACAGAAACATTTAAATTATGTTTTTATCAATTTAAAATTTTTCTCATGACTTCAAGCTTTTCCCAAACGTTATCTTCCCAATGAGGTTTACAATGGCCGTGCTGTTTAAAATAGGCAAGCTGTCGTCCTCTCCCTCCTGATCTTCTTATCTTGCTGTCTAGGATCGTGTTCCCTGGAACAAAAGGCTGAGACCGAGAGAGAGGCATGCAGCAGGCTCTTGGGGGGTGCTCAGGGAGCACACACCTGTGAGGAAGCTGGGAAGGCAGGATCGGGAGAGAGAAGCCGGCACCCCATGTGGTTGGCTGGCTGCCACTGAGGACTGAGCCAGCCTTACAGGGAGCTCTGGAGCTGGGAAGGCCCTAGAGTGTCTCCAGTTGAGGAAAGGGGCTGGGCCTTATATCCCAGGTCAGGCAGACTTGGTCATGGGCTTCACCCTGGGAAAGGCATAACTGTAAGCAAGACTGTTTCCAGAAGCTGAGGGAGGCAGCTGTGATTCACCAGCCACCGATATCCCAGCAGCTCGGGGATGGGGATATCTTCATCCTGAAGAGGAGGTCTGGACAGAAACCCATAACATCCACTGTGCCTGCTCTACTTGACTTTTTCCAATGGCACCTGCCACCTCGTACCATGCTATACACAGTACCGTGATATTTATTGCATCCCTTGTTTGTGGCTGGCCCCAGCTGCCTCTGCCACCAGCCCTGCTAGACTGCAGGCTCCATGAGAGCCAGTCTCTTGCTCTGTTTTGCTGGGCAGAGGGCTTTGCAGAACCGTACCTGGCACAGGTAGGCACTCCACAATTTTTTTTTTTTTTTGAGACGGAGTCTCGCTCTGTCGCCCAGGCTGGAGTGTAGTGGCACGATCTCAGCTCACTGCAAACTCTGCCTCCTGGGTTCACGCCATTCTCCTGCCTCAGCATCCCAAGTAGCTGGGACTACCGGCGCCTGCCACCACGCTTGGCTAATTTTTTGTATATTTTTTAGTAGAGATAGGGTTTCACAGTGTTAGCCAGGATGGTCTCGATCCCCTGACCTCGTGATCTGCCCGCCTTGGTCCTCCCAAAGTGCTGGGATTACAGGCGTGAACCACCTTGCCCAGCCCAAATATTTGTTAATAAATGAAAGGATTCACGTGTCTCAAGTTAAATACTTAGGTAGGATGCAGGTGTTCCTTACACCAGCCATCACCATAGAGAAGGCAGTGGAAGATCTTTTCTCTCTCTTTCCAGGGCAAATCTGAAAGATATTTTCTTCTCCTCCCTACAATAGACTAGTCATTTCTGTGCACTCCTTGCTTGATTAGCAAGCTGTGTAACCTTAACCTAGTCACTCAGTCTCTCAGCGCCGCCCTTCTTATTTGAAATCATTTTTGATGGATCGGAGTTGATGAAATTGACTTCCTGCTTACATATTCTAAGAATTTGTTGAACATCTGCGGATGGCCCAGCATTTTCCCTGTTATTATTTTAAAGATGCCAACTCTAAAATTCTGTGAAATATAGGGCCACATAAAGCAATCTTCTGACCCTTTGTGAATCGATAACTGCTGATCCTATTCTGCAGAAAGCCCAGGAAGTAAGTCCTGACAACATCCAGGAGCACATTCTAGAACGTATAGAATCACACAGTTAAAAAGTCTCCCTCTTTTCTAAATTCTTACTGCCACAACTAGTCATATGTCTCTTTATAAATAAGCATTTTTCATTAAACTCTGAGTTCCTCTTAGAAAAAAGCATGTACTGGCCAGGCGCGGTGGCTTACGTGTGTAATACCAGCACTTTGGGAGGCCAAGGCGGGCAGATTGCCTGAGGTCGGGAGTTCGAGACCAGCCTGACCAACATGGAGAAACCTCATTTCTACTAAAAATACAAAATCAGCCGGGCGTGGTGGCGCATGCCTGTAATCGCAGCTACTCGGGAGGCTGAGGCAGAAGAATTGCTTGAACCCGGGAGGCAGAGGTTGCAGTGAGCCGAGATCGCGCCACTGCACTCCAACCTGGGCAACAAGAGCGAAACTCCATCTCAAACAACAACAACAACAACAACATGTACCTTACTTGAAGCCCATTAAAGTGTCTGAAACCCAGGAGACCCTTGGTAAATATTTGTGGAAACTGATTAACTAAAGGGTCCATGGGTTCTAGGCTTGAAACTTTAAACTTCAGCATTCTCTTTTCCCCAATAAATCAACTTACTTAAACAATTAGACTATACCCACTCACAGCATTGAACAGCCATGGGCCAAGACCCTTAGATGATCAGAATCTTGTCTTGTCTCTTAGAGATGAAAAAACTTTTGGGAATACCTACATCTGCCTGAAGATATTTAATCAAATCTATTATCTATTTAATAATTTGCTTTAGGTGTTGTGGCTTTTAACAATGGAGTGGGCAATCAACTTCATGAAAATTATCATGCCTAACCCTTGCAACAACAATTATATGACCCATTCAACTCAAAAGGAACCTGAGGTACAGTGAAATTAAGTGGCTTGCTCACAGTCACAGAACTTGGTAGAATCTGGATTCGTAACTGGTTCTTTCTCACTGCAGTGACTGAACTCTCTCTGCTACACTATCCCTAATAGATTGCATAATACTTGTCTTATGAAGGAATAGAAAATTAATGGGGAGGAAAAGAGAGAAAAAAATCCCTTATAGTGCTTCCAAAAGGTGAAGTAGGAAAAGCAGTATTTTGACACCTGTATGCAAATGCCTACAGAGGCCAGGCACGTAACCAAAAACGCCAGTGGGGGAAGGTGGGGAGCAGGTGAGTACCAGGTGGGGCCTTTGGCTGCCTGAGGGGCACAGCTCTGTCCCCGTGTCAGTCAGCTGCTGTTGTTGGGCAGGCATTTGTTTTCATGAATCTTCTGATTTCTTTCAAGGGAAATTAGAAATTGGTATTTTCCTGTAAATCTCCTGATTTGTAATTGTTCTCAATAAATTCAAATATTTTTATTAAAAATATAAAACTATGGGAGTCATAAAAAAACCCACTACTATGGCACCATTTTGTGACCCCTGGCCCAGAGCATGAAGTCCTATAGTGATGAGGTCAGAAGAATTCTTCCAGAATTTCATAGACAAAATATTACAGAGAATAGGCTCCTGTTTGGTGCAGTTTTTAGCCCTGTTACAAAAAAGAAGGCAGGCTGTCAGCCACCTCTCATTAACCACTATGTGGAGCAACAACAGCCAACTCTTTTAGTGAAGGCTTTGAGTACCTATCTCCATTTCTCTAAATAACATGCTTATATTGTAATTTCTTGATCTTTTTAAGCTTTAGGCATTTGCTATGGACTTCCAACTCTGGAAGATGGCCATTTGGGTCTCTTTCATATTACATCCTCAACATACACTCCTATACATACCTTCCATGTCTTCCCATCCTACCATCAATGACACAGGTGAACCCCAAAATTAGGGCTCAGCCCAGGTGGGTTCTTGGCTTCACATAGGAAAAAATTCAAGAGCATGCCAACAAAATAAAGTGAAATCAAAGCAAGTTTATTATAGCAACAGAGTATAGGAAAATGGCTGCTCCACAAACACAGCAGGGCTGCCCTATAGGCAGAGTAGCACTTGTGGATTGCTGGCTAGCTGTATTTATAACTATGCCTTAATTATATGCTAAATAAGGGGCAGGGTATTCACACATTTTCTAGAGAAGGGGTGAGGAGCTCCTGGAACCAAGAGTTCCTCCCCTTCTAAACCATATAAAGTAAATTCTGGGCATTTCCATTGCATTTATAAACTGTCATAGTGCTGGTGGGAGTGTCTTTTAGCATGTAGTGCATTATAACTAGCGTATAACAAGCAGTGAGGACAACTTGAGGTCACTTTTGTTGCCATCTTGGTTTTAGCTGGTTTTGTTCAGTTTCTTTAAACATCCTGTTTTGACCAGATCCTGTTTGATCAGCAGGGTTGGAACAAGTGCTCAGAAAACAAGTCCTGCTGATCTCCCACCTCACCAATATTTTCTGTTATTAAGTTTAATTGGATCACTATCCACTGCTTACATTACCATGACTGTGAAGATGCCATTCACAACTGAGCCACATAGTATACTATGATGACTTTTTCTTTCCTAAAAACTGTGTTTTTCTAGAAGTTAATAATCATTCTCTTTCTTTTGCTTAGTTAGTTTTTTCTGTACCTTCCACTAATCCAATCCCAAATTCTCAACCACCTATTAAACCTCTCAATATTTTCAGGTTATTGGGCCATCTGGGACTCTTCTGGAGGTTTCTGATGTCTTAGATCAGGAATGATTGCCCTCTCTGCCCAGGGTGAAGCAGTCCTCCCAGGATGTCTGAAAGATCCTTCCACCTTTTTCATGTATTAATTCCCCCTTTTCTAGCATTCTATGCATCCTTCTTTCTTATTTCCTTGTTTTGGAGAAGCCAATCCTCCAATAGCTTCTTGAATAACATGAGAGGTAAATGTTTTGAGCCTTACATATCTAGGAAATGTGTATTATTCTCCCATACACTCAAGTAACAGTTTGAGCATAGAGTTCCAGGATGGAATTAGTTTTCCTTTAGATATTTCAAAGCATTGCTTGATTATCCCCTACCTTCCAACAATATCATTGAAAAGCTTTCTACAATGGGGAAAGGATTCTCTATTTAATAAATGGTGCTGGGAAAACTGGCTAGACATATGTAGAAAGTTGAAACTGGATCCCTTCCTTACACCTTATACAAAAATTAATTCAAGATGGAATAAAGACTTAAATGTTAGACCTAAAACCATAAAAACCCTAGAAGAAAACCTCCGCAATACCATTCAGGACATAGGCATGGGCAAGGACTTCATGTCTAAAACACCAAAAGCAATGGCAACAAAAGCCAAAATTGACAATTGGGATCTAATTAAACTAAAGAGCTTCTGCACAGCAAAAGAAACTACCATCACAGTGAACAGGCAACCTACAGAATGGGAGAAAATTTTTGCAACCTACTTATCTGACAAAGGGCTAATATCCAGAATCTACAATGAACTCAAACAAATTTACAAGAAAAAAACAAACAACCCCATCAAAAAGTGGCAAAGGATATGAACAGACACTTCTCAAAAGAAGACATTTATGCAGCCAAAAAACACATGAAAAAATGCTCATCATCACTGGCCATCAGAGAAATGCAAATCAAAACCACAATGAGATACCATCTCACACCAGTTAGAATGTCAATCATTAAAAAGTCAGGAAACAACAGGTGCTGGAGAGGATGTGGAGAAATAGGAACACTTTTACACTGTTGGTGGGACTGTAAACTAGTTCAACCATTGTGGAAGTCAGTGTGGCGATTCCTCAGGGATCTAGAACTAGAAATACCATTTGACCCAGCCATCCCATTACTGGGTATATACCCAAAGGATTATAAATCATGCTTCTATAAAGACACATGCACACATATGTTTACAGCGGCACTATTCACAATAGCAAAGACTTGGAACCAACCCAAATATCCAACAACAATAGACTGGATTAAGAAAACGTGGCACATATACACCATGGAATACTATGCAGCCATAAAAAATGATGAGTTCATGTCCTTTGTAGGGACATGGATGAAGCTGGAAACCATCATTCTCAGCAAACTATCGCAAGGACAAAAAAACCAAACACCGCATGTTCTCGCTCATAGGTGGGAGTTGAACAATGAGAACACATGGACACAGGAAGGGGAACATCACACACCGGGGACTGCTATGGGGTGGGGGGAGGGGGGAGGGATAGCATTAGAAGATATACCCAATGTTAAATGACGAGTTAATGGGTGCAACACACCAACATAGCACATGTATACATATGTAACAAACCTGTACAATGTGCACATGTACCCTAAAACTTAAAGTATAATAATAATAAAATAAAATAAAATAAAAGCTTTTCTAAATACTGTTTCTTTTATGTGACCTCTTTACATTTCCTCTCTCTGATACTTTCTGGTGGGTCACGTTTTATTTTCATTTACTAAAACTTGGGGAAATTCTTATAGATGTATGGGTTCACCCTGTCACCTTTACCCTGAAGTTCCAATCATGTATTTCTACTCCCCCACGACTGAGCAAGTTAGAAGCTGCCCATGTAATCGCATTACAAAGGCTATTGGAACAACAGCAGAAGAGCTGGAGTCTCTCATGTGAGGTGAGAACTACACAACAATAAAAAATGAAAAAAGCAAGCTACACACCAAAACCTCACAAAACAGCAACTTGGACAAGAAGACTCTCCAGTTGGCCTTTCCTGGTCCCCAACCCAGAAGACAGGCAACCCCTTGACCTGCTTCACAAGATTCCTCAGGATTTGCCTGGCTGCTGGAAGTTCTGCTTGGCTGGTGTGGG
The DNA here is from genome assembly GCF_000001405.40 of Homo sapiens. NCBI lineage: Eukaryota > Metazoa > Chordata > Mammalia > Primates > Hominidae > Homo > Homo sapiens. The sequence goes on from NC_000006.12 coordinate 6,779,028, forward strand.
TGGACATTCAGGCATGTTAGTGGGTTCTATTTCTTATACATTGGACTTGCCAGTTTAGTGTTTGTTACTTCATCCCTGGAACTGAATGTGAATTCTGTAATCCTAAAAGACATATGGGATGCCGAGGCCAGCGGATTACTTGAGGTCAGGAGCTCGAGACCAGACTGGCCAACATGTCGAATCCCCATCTCTACTAAAAATGCAAAAATTTAAAAAAGAAATAGATATTCTTCTAAAAAGCCGCAATGCAATGATCGCAACTCAGAAATTCCCTACAGTAATTCCCTACTGTCACCTAATATCTAGTGCATATTCCAATTTCCTCAACTGTTCCTTAAATGTCTCTCTTAGATGTTTTTTTTTTTCCTGTTCTTCATCACCTTATTGGTGGCTGTTGTTTTGACCGAGGATCTGAGGTAAATATTCCTCATTTGACTCTCATGTCTCTTTAGACTCCTTTAATCTTTTCCTCTAGAACGGTCCCCCCAACCACTCCCCCGACACACACTTTTAAATCATGATGTTGATTTTCTTCCTGAGTCCAGGACAGTCTTCTTGTAAAATTTCCCCTATTCTTGATGTGTCGGTTTGCTTCCTCATCCTACTGTGTAGCTTGTCCTTAGCCTGCCCCCGTATTTCCAGTAACTTGAAGGATAGGTCTAGAGGCTTGATGAGATTCAGAATGAATGTTTGGGCAAGAGCATGCCCTGAGTGAGACTGTGTGCTTTATGCTGCAGCCCATCAGGAGGCCCACAAAGTTGGGTAGTGTCATGATGAGTGCTGCCAAGTTTGACCATTTCAGCCAAGTGGTGACCATCGGATCTCTCCATCATGAAGGTGCTTTTATCCCATGCAATTAGCAAACAACTCTGGAGAGATTGGCACATGTGGGTCCCCTGTGCCTCAACAATCCGCCCAATGGCTTGGCCCCATTGATGATCCTTTAGGGTAGCAATCATTACATGAACAGCCCATCAGTTGTAAAATGCCTAATGGATGACTGGGAAGAAGAGAAAGGAGGGTTGAGGGAAGACACAGAGAACAAGGAGTAGAAAGCTGGAAACAGGGAAAACAATTCTGAAAGCTTTGCTGAGGGCTTCCCCTATTTATATTCAACTTTTCCAGAGTCATGAACCCTTTAAGGAAATGCTGGCCTGAAGCAATGACTAAAGAGGGTCTTCTGCACAAGCCTGCTTCATTAGCAAAAAAAGAAATGCATTTCAGTGTGTCCGGGTATCTAAATTTTGTTCTGAACTTCATCTCTGACCTTAGCCAAGAAAGAGCTAACAAATCAGGAGGATGTGTACAGTCGCACCCCAGATCGGGTATTTGGACAGCGGACTTACATGCGACAAGAAAGATGCTGTGCCCGCTCAGCGTACCTGGACCTCTTTGTACAGGGCTCGTTTATCCAGCACACTCAACAATAGGCATTCATCCAGAACTCTCAGTTCCAAATCGTTGCTTCTTTCAAAGCAGTACTTGCTCCGCTCTTCAGAAACAAGTTTCTTTGAAAGATACAAGTGGACACTTTGCTGACCAGTTCAACCTATGCATTGTCTCAGGTAAACTGTTTTCTTTCAGATTTTAGGACATTATGTGTGTCTCCGTGAAGAATTTGGTGAATGCCTGCATCAAAAAGTATTTCCCATGGACTCATATATTTATTTTTTTATTATACTTTAAGTTCTGGGATACATGTGCAGAATGTGAAGATTTGTTATCGACTCATATATTTAAATCACTTCAGTTTATCTCAAAATACATGTCTTTTAAAAGACATCCCAATATTGAAAACTTTGTTCTCTGTTGCCCAGGCTGGAGTGCAGTGGCTCAGTCTCGGCTCACTGCAACCTCGGCCTCCCGGGTTCAAGCTATTCTCCTGCCTCAGCCTCCCAAGTAGCTGGGACTACAGGTGTGCACCACCATGCCCGGCTAATTTGTGTATTTTTAGTAGAGACAAGGTCTCACCATATTGGCTAGGCTGGTCTTGAACTCCTGACCTCGGATGATCTGCCTGCCTTGGCCTCCCAAAGTGTTGGGATTATAGGCGTGAGCTACCGTGCTCGGCCTGATTCTGTGGCATTCTGATTAGACTTATGACAGTCAAGAGCCCTAGCCTCCAAAACAGAAATTAAAGTTTACTCCAACACACACAAGGGGCAAGCACAAACTCTCTGGCAAAGAGTTGACAATTAAGCAGGAGCAGTAAGTCTAGAAATTCTATAATACACAGCACAGCATGAGGCTGGCAGCAGGAACCTGGCAGGAGGCTGGGGGAGGGCAGGGCAGAACACTTCTCTGACTTGAAGAAGCAGAGGAGGTGTCTCCCGGAGGGACTCCCCCAGGAATGGAAAATTATTCCCCAAGGTGGGAACTGACTCCTGGGAAGTCCGCCAGTGCTGAGTCACCAGGTCTTTATGAAAGCCTGAAGGAAGGCTACTCTCCACAAGCTACAGTTTCACGACTCCCTAGAAAGGACTAGAGTTATTTCAGGGGGAGTGTTTTTCAAACCTTGTATTTTTAAAATATGTATTTCAAAACAATGAAATCTTAAATTCACTTTAGTTTTATTTTAATGGATGCATTATTTCTAAGAAGAGGGAGAAAAGAGAATCCTATGATCAAGCAAACAGTTGCAAAGGGTGCTCCAGCTCCTGACAGGCTGGGAATTTGGAATCACTGCCCCAGAGAAGCAAATGCTAGATAAATGCTGAATTGGCAAATTCTTCAGATGCTTTTTTATTTTTATTTTTTTAAATAAAGAACTATAGTGTCTCTTTTCAACAATTTTACCCTATGCCTGCCTCCCAGCCTCCTGGACTCCCCCACCCCATCTTTTGTGCCTTGTCTTGTGCTACTTCATCACCAACAAATTTCTCCTCAGCCTTCCAATTCCCTCCTGCAGAAGTGGACACAAATTTGCAGGAGACTAACTTTGCAGGGACAGAAAAGCCCAACTAAGCAAAACATTCTAAGCTTTCAAAAGGAGCTGGCCAGAAGCTCTTCATGTAGGAAATTTATTGCCAATTACACAATCTCACTATTGGTATCAGCAGTGGAGCACTTGAAGGGCAGGAAACCAATTCTGACTTTAAAAATAAAATCCAGAGGGGAAAAAATCAGCCTGATGCTTCTGATGCACATTAAAATTGTGTGATTTTTTTTCCTAATAGACATAATAATATTATTTCTAATAACGAAGGGGAATGGCATTATTCTCTCTTTTAGAGTGTTCAGATTTGGAATACCATTCTTTGTGTTAGGGATCGAAAATTCTGTTTGAAAGTTCTATTCCTGTCCTTTCAACCATATTCTCTTTTGCTCTTCTCTTTTGTCATTAAACAAACAAAACACCAAACCTGTGTCATCTCTTGCATCTTGAGGTCCGGAGTTCAAGACCAGCCTGGCCAACATGGTGAAACCCTGTCTCTACAAAAGTACAAAAATTAGCCAGGTTGGGAGTTCAAGATCAGCCTGACCAACATGGAGAAACCCTGTCTCTACTAAAAGTACAAAATTAGCCAGGCATGGTGGCACATGCCTGTAATCCCGGCTACTAGGGAGGGTGAGGCAGGAGAATCACTTGAACCTGGGAGGCAGAGGTTGCAGTGAGCTGAGATCACGACATTGCACTCCAGCCTGGGCAACAAGAGCGAAACTCCATCTCAAAAAAAGAAAGAAAGGAAGGAAGGAAGGAAGGAGAAAAAGAAAAAGCAATCCCACTTTGCAAACTGGTCAGTGAGAACTTCCAGGAGCAGACAACACTGCAACCTTGGTCAGTGTCAAGGCCCTGGGGTCAGGCTGCCGAGAGTCAGTCCTGACACTGAACTAGGCAAGTGGTTTAACCTCACTCTACCTCAGTTTTTTCATTGGCAAAATGGGGACAGTCAGTACACCTATCTCATGTCGGGTGAATTAAATTAAAGAATCCAGGTAAAGTGTTCGGCACCATGCCTGAGAGCCAATCCTAACTATTACAATGATGATGGGCATCGCTATCTCCTTGTGCCCCCCAAGCAATCCCAGCTCATCTCTGAGCAATTCCTCTGCTTCTCCTGAAGGGCTCTGGACAAAGGCAAAGGAACATCCTCCTCTGGGAGGGAAGCTTTGGCTGTCAAATAAATAAAATATAGAATAACAAATAATTAAATAACAATTTGAAAAAGAATGTTGACATTTACACTAAGGGTGACCTGGTCCAATTGTTACTGGAGTTTTTATGTTCCATGTGTTGTATTTTTTTATTTGCTCAGTTTATTTATTTATTTATAGAAATAAAGCATTTTAAGTTTTATTTGCAGGCTTAAAATGCCCTTTTTTTGGTCACAGAGGAAACAAGTTTGCTTCAAAATCTGATTCTTTATCTAAATAAACTCACCAAATGACTAGTTGGCATTACACAGAAGTGGCACAAAAGATAGTTGAATCTCAAGAAAATTGATGTCTCTCATTCAGTAGCAAAATCAACCATTTTGACCATTGGTAGAGAACCAAGCTAGTTGTGAATGCTCATCTCTTCACCAAGCATGAAGCCCTATCTGCCTCTGCATTTCCAGAAGGTCCCCAAGGTTTTCCACCTTGAAGGTGGGGCTCACCTGAGCCTAGGGGAACCTGCTTCTCATGTGTATGCCCTCCCAAGCCTACAGGGTATTTGGTGGTTGAGTTCTCTTCCTACAAAAACCAAAATGGTGAAGGGTCTGGGGTGTGGACCAGTTTAAAGGAAAGGCAGAGCAGAAGTGGGCTGACATGCTCATCGCATGAGCCTTCCACGGTCTATGGCATTCTTCTCATTCTTTTGTAGAATTGTCTATAGAATGAGTTTTACTTATACTGTGAGTCTAAGCATGCAATCTTGCCACTAATGCTTCACACAATTCCTACCACCCACCATGAGGTAAGAATCCCATACTCCTTCCTTAGGTTCCCAAGAACTAATAACTTAAAAAGGAAATGATTCACAAAGTCTTCATTTTACCCCATCTAGGCATGTGTGGATTGTTTTGCCTATTGCTTTTGATCTCTTTGTTAGTCTAATACTGACAAGCATTTATCTGTTCATTCACTTTGGAAATGAAGCTTGAATCTTACATGTCCTGGCTTTCTTAAGCAAGATAAAGTTAAGAAAATGCTTTAAACAAAGGAAAAGCTAACACGGTTATGGTAAAATAGAGACTAAGAAATTGACATGTTAGCACTCAGTGGTGAGATTTTACCTAACCAAATCCATCCCCTCTAAAATAGAGATAATAGTATCAGCCTGACTGGTATAGCTATTCTTGGGGGTGGGGGCGGGGGGGAAAGCAAAAGGTCCAAAACTACTTCCTAGATCAGTGGCTTCTATAATTTTATTTTATCATTTTATTTTATTTTACCAGTTTACATGGTAAAAAGTATATATATATATATATATACATCTTTACACCTTGACCGGGTGCACAGACACATAAGCTGAAACAAAAGTTTTATGAGTCAATACTTCCCTTAATTACAGGCAATACAGGATGGTATTTTCTAACTCTATTCTATTTCATTTTAAAATGTTGATGTGACTTAGTAAATAGTTGCAGCTCACAGTTTGAAAAACCATGCCCTAGAAAATTACCTCCTGTGCAGCTGTCTAATGAAGTCAAGCAGAGTGTTCTTGAGGCAAAGGCTAGCTTTCCCATTCTCACGCAGTCCCTGCTTGCACTGCTTCTGCACTGTTTCCCAAATGCCAGTGATAATATTATTTTGACACTTGTTATAAGGGTAGGGAAGACTTTATCCAAGATTACTGCAGGATGTGGTGGCTCACACCTATAATCCCAGCACTTTGGAGGGCCGAGGCAGGAGGATCACCTAGTAGGCCAGGAGTCTGAGACTAGCCTGGGCAACATAGGGAGACCCTCTCTCTGCCAAAAAAAAAATTGTTTTTTTAAAGGACTATTGCAATAGGGACAGTGCAATAAGGGAGAGAGATTGGGCTCAACTCCAAATACAACAAAGACTGCTGGGGCCAAGGAACAAGATGGGGATGATTGGATGAAAAATTACCAAGAGGACACATCAAGGGTACAGAGATTCTTGCAAAACTGACCTAACAGAATTCTTGCTAAAGGCAGGCCAAGGATATATACATCAAAAGTGAGGGATGTTAGAAATGAAAGTGTGAAAGTGCAGTGAGAAAAGAAAATGTGGTACATAAAGAACTTGATCAGATATTAAGGGTGATCATAAATCAAGGGTGAGGGATTCTTGCTAAACTGACTTAACAGGATTCTTGCCAAGACTGGGCAGTGCAGGCTCGGCAACGACTAAGACCAAGGCCGAAGCCTAGTCGATAAGAGAGCTCAGAGGAGCCTGACTAAGCCTTGGCCAAGGAGAGTCTTTGCCACCAGCTGTGGTAAACACAAAGATGGAAATGACTTTGTTTTTACTACGGGAGGAAAAAACTCTCAGATACTGAAGTTGTCTTGCAGAAAGCAGGATTACCTAATGGTTCAAAGCATGGCCTTTGGGACTTCTAACTAAACATAGCAGATTGACCTCCAGAGGCAGGAAAGGAATTAAAAGACATCAGAAGAAGAGATCTCAGCAGGTGTTTTTATTATTATTATTATTATTATTATTATTTTGGAAGATGGAAAGCAGATAAAGAAATGGTACAGATTTAGGAGTAAGTTGTGAGCTAGGGTGCCTGCAAGGGGAAGGGGGAGAAGAGGGTGTGAGAAGAGGCCAGTCCTCTTCCAGGACTCTGAGAGCATAAGCTAAGGCACCAGATGCCTTAAAAGACAGGTGCAAGGCTTGGGTGTGAAATAGGGGAGCAGAGTGAAAGTCAGAACATGGTCTAGTTCGATCTCCATGTGCCCTTTTCTCCCTTTGACCGCAGCAACTACCCTCCAGCCCATACATACTACTTCACTTCCACCCGACCCCAGCCTGGGACTGGCAATTACACTCTGGGAGAAATTAACCTGAAATTCTCTAGACTTGGGGTCATCACACACAGTGTAAAGTAGGGGTCAATAAAACTGAAGGGACGGGGGATAGGGGTAAGTTTGCACAGTGGAGACTGAGACACACAGGGATCCCCACTTCGTCACCTCCCCCTGCCCCCGCTCACAGCTAGCATTTTACCAACCAGGGTACAGATATAGACATTAGTTCCCTGGATAGACTAAATGGTCCTGGAAAAATAAAAATAAAAAAGGATTCCTTTAGATATTGAAATATGGGAGTCCCCACAAAAATGTCCCGCTCACCACTAACCCTACTTTGATACCCACCAGTTAAAAGCCCAACCTTGAAAACACAGAGCTTCCAAGTAGCTAAGGGTCTCTAGGCAGGCAAAGTAAGACTTCAAGATTTAGAAACCGAAACAGACACAACAAAAATAAGAACCCAGGAGAAACAGAGACAACGCAGGAAAGAGAAGAAAACTTCTAAAATAAAAATAAACCAGATTACTCTCCTTAGAAAGAGAGAGAAGATATTGAATATGTAAAACTAGAATAAAATGTTTTTAATGTAAAGCAGTCAGAAAACAAGAAATTGGATCATTAAAATTCTAATAAACAATTGAAAGATAAGTCAAAGAAATCTCCCAGAAAACAGAACCAGAGGAAAAAAAGAAATAAGAGAGATAAAAGAAGAGACTTAAAAGCTCAATCCACAAGTTTCAAATTGAATGGTAGGAATTCCCGAGGCAATATATAAATTGGAAGGAAGGAAATTCTATATAAAGAAAAGTTCCTATAACTAAGTTTCTATAACTAAAAGCTAAGATTCTCAAATTGAAAAACACCACTAAAATAATAAAATTTTTAAAATGTGCCCTTTTTTGGCACAACCAAAGTCCTGTGCCATAAATTTCAAAATACCAGGGTTAAAAAGAGAATTCTATAGGGAACACATAGCAAACCAAAAAAAGGGGATCAAATGGCTTCAGATTTCTCTCCAGCAACACTTATTACAGGAAAACAATGGAGCAATGTTTCACAATTTTGAGGAAAGATCATTTATAGTCTGAAATTTTAAGCTTGTCCAGTTACAATTCAAGTGAATAGTAGGACATATACATTTTTAGACATGTAGGCACTCAAGAAAAATTACCTTCCATGCACGCTTTCTTACAAAGCTGCTAGAAGATCTGCTCCAGCAAAACAAAGGAGTAAATCAAGAAATAAGAGGGTATGGAATCCAGGAAACAGGACATCTAGCACAGGAGAGGGAAAGGGAAATAGCTGATAATGCTGAAAGAAAGGTCCAGCAAGTAGCTGACTAAGAGGGGGCTCCAGGGAAGGGTCTCCAGGAAAAGTTTGCGAAAAATAAGACTACAATTTCAGCATTTTTAAATAGAGACCTTATGTTGATAAGATCTACACTGCAGGAAGCCAGAGATTGAGGCCTACTACACTTCAATTTTTTTTTTTTTTTTTTTTTGAGACAGAGTTTTGCTCTTGTTGCCCAGGCTGGAGTACAATGGGGCGATCTCGGCTCACCGCAAGCTCCGCCTCCCGGGTTCAAGCGATTCTCCTGTCTCAGCCTCCCAAGTAGCTGGGATTACAGGCATGTGCCACCACATCCAGCTAATTTTGTATTTTTAGTAGAGACAGGGTTTCTCCATGTTGGTCAGGCTGGTCTCAAACTCCAAACCTCAGGTGATCCGCCTGCCTCGGCCTCCCAAAGTGCTGGGATTACAGGCGTGAGCCACCACGCCCAGCCCATACTTCAAGTCTTTAACAAATAAAAGCGACTGACTTTCTTTTATGAACCAAAAGTTGATGTATCTCCTTGAGATAATCAAGGAGGGAAGAGATCCTGTGACACTCAGCAGGTAAGGGGAAGGCAGACCCTAGAACTAAAAGTCAGCACACTTCGAATGTGCTATTTAAAAGGGGAATGATGATACACTTTGAAAGAGGTCATAGTATTTGTCTAGTAGAATATGTAGCATCTATAAAGTGGTCACAATATTTGCCAAAGAGAGTAAAACCTTTAAGACCAATAAAGGATCCTTGAGAGCTAAACTTCCTGTTTTCATCACTTTGTTAATTTGTTAAGATTTTAATTTTAGAATCCATAACACTGAGTTCTATTTATTCTGGAGGCTGGTTTACTTCACACTTGCCCCCCACCCAAAGAAAAAGATACAGAGAATTTACAATGTTTGAAACAGGAAAACAACATGTACATGCATTTAACATGTCTGATGGTGTGTGTGGAAAGAATTAAAGACCTATGTATTGAAAACTAAGTCTTTTTTTAAAATGGGCAGTTAAACGCAGGAAAAACAAAAATTAGTTTAGAAAAGGAAATGCAATCACGACTGATAACTCTCTACTTGGCTATGTAGTCAGCAATATTTATATAGTTTAATAATGTAAATACTGTCCAACTAATGATGTCAACAAATATGATATAATTATATTGAGAGGATACTGGAAGGGGAGTGTATAGTTGTATGGGGATGGTGTGGGGGTAAGTTGTATCTAATTGTAATGAATAGACTATTCATAAAAGTGTGAAAAGGGTTTAGGAAAACAGAGTGCAGTACCTAGCACTGACAGTAGCAGGCAGTCATTGCCACCTCTAGGCATGAGAGCTCAAGGGCAAGGTAGGAGCAATTTCTAGAACCTAAGAGAGCGGCTATATGGAGAGCACTGCCTGCCAGAAGAGGAGGAAGGGGCTTATCTAGGAGAGTAAACACTCTGGCCCCTGCATCTTCCTCCAATCCAGTCTCCTGCCAATGTCTCTCATGAGCCACACCCAACCCAGAAGCCAGTGATCAGGTAGCCTGTTCACTGCGTTCCTACAGGTCAGCCTCTTGGGAGAATGCCCAGGGTGAGAAGAATACATCTGGAAGAGGCAGATGGTGTCCAGTAGAGAGAGACAAAACTTCATCACCGGAAGATGCCAAATGTCTCAAATCAACACATCAATAAAAATTGCCGTTCTCCTATTACATGTAGAATTGAACTGGCTAACATTTGGAAGTGGCTGCCTCTGGGGAGCAGGAAGAATTGGGAGAAGGTGGGCAAGAAAACGCTGTTTTTCATAAATCTTAAACTAGTTGATTGTTAAAATATTTATGTATATTGCCTGATTAGGAAAAAATAGCAAAATATTGTAAAATGTTAAAAGCCAAAACAAACAAACAAAAAACAAAACAAAACAAAACAAAAAAACCTCAGCAGGCACAAGGAGGGGAAGAAATGTGCCAGCTTTGTCACTAAGATAGACCCCATGGATTTGAATCTGTCTAGCTGTGGGGCCCTGGGTCACTCACTTTCCCTCTCTGGCCTTAGTTTTTACAGCTGTAAAACAAAAATAGCATTTCCAACCTCAGAGAGATTTGAATGAGATGATGTATAAAAGCATTTGGTACAAAACGAGCCCTTAGATAATGAGATGCACAGAATAAAAAAGAGAGGGAGCGTGTATGAAAGTCACTAAAAGACAATAGATATCTTTATCATTGGTTTGCTTCTGTCTTTTCTACCTTCCCTTGAAACCTCAACAGCTAACAGAGTCTGGCTCATGGCAAATGCTCAGTGAAAATCTGTTGGAGGAGAGAGTAGAAGACAGCCCTAGAGGACTTTTCTGCCTTACTCCTCCATTTGCTGTAACAGGCCAGATCCAAGGGCCTTGGGATCTGCCTCTCAAAGTTTCACCTTGAGCCTGCCCTTGCAGTCAGTCACTCCCCTGATAGCCCCAGCCCACCTCCTGGCTGCCCACCTCCCTGCAGCTGGCTCCTAGACCATCATAACCCTGTTTTGCATGTGGAGCTTCTCAGAGTCATGCCCCATCCCTGAAGCATCTCCCAGCTTGTATACACATTCCCTCCACTCATCACTCTGGAGCCTTTTTTGTGGGATGATGAACCAAGTAAAGGAGCCGGGGCTGGTCCCTGTGGGACTGGTACATTGGAAAGACTGTTGATGCTCTGCCAATGGCTTCACCACAAATGCCCAGGGATGCTTTTTCAACACAGTGATGGCAAGATTGAAGAAGCACAGTGAAGCATAGAAGAGACCCCTGTGGCTCAGTCACAGGGTCAGAGAGTCAGGCCGTCCTGACTGCACCCCTGCTCATACTTCCAGGAGTGCTCCAAGGACAGGTTCTGATTTCACCTTCATGCAGCTCCCTGGCCACACATGCTTCTCCACTGGGTGCAATGCTCTGGTGGGAGGAAATGAAGTCCTTTGAATTCTTTACTCATTAATACCTATTCCCCATGCGGGACACATTTTTATGGCCTACCAGTGGCCAGTCCCCTTTCATTAATAACAGAACCCTCGTGTATGGCAGTGAGTGCCCTTTTGCAGTCATAGACCGTGGAGTCATCATGTGATCAAGGCCTGCCTCTAGGGAAGGTCCCTCTCCCTGATGAGAGAGGTTCAGGGGGAGGAAGCCCTTTGCCAAGTCTCCCTCGTCTCCTGCTTGGGTTTCCACGGTGTGCGAGGAAACATGGTGGTCATCTTTGACTAGAAAGCAGGATGTTGCTGACACGCCAAAAATGGTAGAGTAGTAAGACAGAAAGAGCCTCCACCCTTGGGGTTATCACAGAGCCACAGAATTCACCCTGGGCCATTCCTAGTGCTCTAAGTCAAGGGTCATGGGATCTTCAGCTGGTTGCAGCCCAAACAATCTTTAATGATGCAATGTGTACACCATCAACAGAGACATCAAAGTCAGTTTCGTTGCTCTTGTATTGCCTGAGAGATGTGGATGCCTTTTTGTCAAAACTCAACCCTAAACTGAGGGCATTCTTATTTTTTGTTTATTTATTTATTATTATTATTTTTAGAGATGAGGTCTCGCTATGTTACCCAGGCTGGACTTGAATTCTTGGGCTCAAGCAATCCTCCTGCCTCAGCCCCCTGAGTAGCTGGGACTATATGCATGCACCTCCATGCCCAGCTCAGGACATTCTTGCAAGGGCAACTATGATGTCTGTGGGTGGAACCAGATGACTTTGATCCCAAGAAAGGGCTCAGGCAGTCAGGCATGCACATTTGCAGCCTGAAGGCCACACACAATGATAGGAGGCAATGGAGCTTACCTTCCTTCCCTGCCCATAAACCTGATGTCACCCTGTGAGTCCTACGGATGTGAGTCACTTTGCTCTTATGATTCTGAAAGAGGGTTTGTGGAGAGGCTTCCTCGGGAGGCTGGAAAGAGAGGGGCAGGTCTCTTCCCTGCCATGATGCCAGCAAGCACTGCAGAAGTGGGACCCAGCAAGTGAGTCTTCCTGGGCGGGAGCAAAAACCTTCCTAGTTGCTACCTTTGGCCTAGTTATATGGAGAGGAGATACCACCTGGATTCTATCCTTTATCTCACCAGTGGTGCCTGGAAGGCTTCAGATTTGCAGCGTGCTTTGAAATGGTTGATTTTCTTCCTAACAGACGGGTACAAGAACCCCTCTTCAGTGCTTCCAGAAGAAATCATGTGAAAGAATACAGTCAGCCCTCTCAGGATAATGGAGACAAGTTCTCACATATTGGTGGGCACACGCATGACCTAGGGAGCTTGTTTAACAGGCAGGTTCTGGGCCTCAGCACTAGTACTTTAATTCAGGAAATCGAGGCAAGGGCCCAGGAATCTCCTTTTGAAATAAACCCTGCATGTCCTTCAACACAAGGTCATCAGACCATTGAAAAATAGATAGAAATGATTGAAATCCATTGATTATTCAGGAAGTTTCATTTTGGGCAATGATCTTTTCTCCTTTTTTTTTTTTTTTTTTTTTGAGACAGGGTCTCGCCCTGCTGCCCAGGCTGGAGTGAAGTGGTGTGATCACCACTCACTGAAGCCTCACCCTCCCCGGCTCAAGCAATCCTCCTGCTTCAGCTTCCTGAGTAGCTGGGACTACATGTGCACACTACTACACCCCACTAATTTGTTTTTAATTTTCTGTAGAGGCAGGGTCTCACTATGTTGTCCAGGCTGATCTCAAACTCTTGGCCTCAAGGGATCCTCCTGTCTGGGGCTCCTAAAGTGCTGGGATTACAGGTGTGTACTTGAATGTTATCCATTAACTCTCTCTTCCCAGCCCCTCCTTCCTCAAACCCTATATACCTCACCCATTTCTAATTTTCATACCAGAATTACTAAAATGTAGTGGCGTGACCCTAGGTATGAGAATTGTTCTTGCATCCCACAATTTATGCCATCTGAACTCTTTATCAAGTATACGCTCTCTCCCTCAGACACATTCCACAGCCATCTGCGGAGCACGTGCTGGGGGCTCAGAAACCATCAGGGCCTCAGTCCTTCATCTTCTCCGGGCTCCTTTTTCTGGTTTATCTTGCCTCCATTCACCTTTACCATCTCAACGCCACTCCTTGGGAGCATCCAAATCCCTCCCCTCCCAGATCAGTTACCCAGTGCCCAGACCCAAGTCCTTGTGCCAGTCTTATTCCACTTGCTCTCCCTTCTCGTCTCACGCTTTCCCGCTGTAGTCACTCTCGCCTGAGATCTGGATAGCTCCTCTGCACCAACCATCTGCCCACCCCCGGCACCTCAAACTCAACAACTCCCTCCCTCCCCAGCAACTCCTCCTGGGTTTCCTGTTTTCTGATTCTGACACACCTACTTTACCTGGGTCAAGACCTTGGAGTAACATTTGATGCTTTTTTTTTACCCGATTTAATTCCTTACCAAATTTGACTCACTTGTTTTCTGTTTCTCTCCCCTCTGTCCCTTTCATTTGCATCATGATCTTTGTGCTTGTCTCGAATTCAATTCTAGTCAAGCCTCTGGTTGCAAGAAAGAAATAACCAGTCAACCTAAGGGGGTTATGAAAAGGCAGAGGCACATCTCACTGACACACAATGGAAATACAAGGGGCCTCATAGGAAACAAGATTAGATCTGGGAAGGTGTTGAGGCAGCTGTGCTTCCAGTTGTTTTTTTTGCCTCCTCTGGGGCCATGTGGTTTCTTACCTGGATCTCTTTCTGCAGATTTGGCCTGTTCCCCTGCCTTTCTAGCTTGTTTATGTCCCCAGATGATTATCCCAACCCCTCATGACCTTCCCGTGCAACTGTTCTCCAGTCTAAATACAGCTTTGGTCACTTGCTCAGATTCGGAAAGGAGAGGTTCAGTGGACACTGGCCAGCCAATGGATTGCACTGGCCTCACCAGGAGCCCAGCTTTAATGCTTTAATACCAGGCAGAATCATGGTATTAACATCGATTCCTGGGTGTGGTCCTTCAGCAGCAGCTATTGGGAAGGTGCATTCCAGATGGGCTGTTTGGGGGTTCCCTGTTATAGTCTACTGCAGTGCTTCCTAGAAGCTGGGTGAAGGACTGGTGGCATGTCCAGAACGAAGTTCTTGCCTTTTTGTGATGAAATGAGAAAAACAAGCATGTAAGTATGTGAGCGTGTGCATGTGTGTGTTGGGAGGAGAAATGATATGTTAATATAAAGTCCCAGATGTCCTTTTTGGGAAATACTGCCTACACAGCAACAACATCCTTCCTGCTTAGGGAAGCTAGCATGTCCTTTTATTTACAAAGTGATAGTGGGACTAGGTGGTTGTTCTTATTGTTATTGTTGTCTATGCCCTTATTTGGCAAAAATAGAATATTGGGACACTTAGGTCAATCTCTTCAAGTTTTGAGGGGAAACTTGGCTGGTTCATGAAATCCAAATGTCTTAGAAACACTAGGCTATGTCCTGGCTCTTTTCATAGCTTCCTAAACGGTCTCTTGACCTTCCAGATCTCTTTTCCATCACATCACTGTCACACTAATCCCTCTAAAATGTTGCTGAATAAAGTATTTTCTTGTTTAAGTCTGCAAGGGCTTTGCAATGATTGTGAAATCGAATAGAAAGTCTTCAGCCTGTACAAACCAGCTCCAACCTAAGGTCCCAGCCCTCTCCCATACCTCTCCCCACGCCCACCATGTGCTTCAGACAAGCTCCTCCTTGGCCCTTCTGACCCTGCCCCTCCCACCGCTGGGCCCGCTTTCCAGCCTATGCAGGTCCAGTGATAATCCCTCCATGAAGTTCTCCAATACTCAGCTAAAGTGAATCTTTCCTAACTCTAAAGTCCTTCTACTAAAACATGCATACATTCTTAGACACATATTGCGTTCTGTGTCATTTGTGGTTTTTTGTGCCATTTCCTACTTACCCCACTCATCAGAAACCCTTGAGCTGCTACGTGTGTGGAGGAAGCGTGGTGAAGAGGAAGTCACAGAACATGGGATCCAAAGCTTGACTCTGTTCTGGTGAATGTCACTAGGAATGTCACTTGACTGGGATGTTCCTCCATTTGTTCCTCTTCTCACTGGAATATATATTCCATGAAGACAGGGATTTATTTTATTTTATTTTATTTTTGAGACAGAGTTTTGCTCTTGTTGCCCAGGATGGTGCACGGTGGTGCAATCTTGGCTCACCGCAACCTCCGCCTCCCAGGTTCAAGCGATCCTCCTGTCTCAGCCTCCCGAGTAGCTGCGACTACAGCAGTCTGCCACCATGCCTGGCTAATTTTTGTATTTTTAGTAGGGACAGGGTTTCACCATGTTGGTCAGGCTGGTCTTGAACTCCTGACCTCAGGTGATCCACCCATCTCGGCCTCCCAAAGTGCTGGGATTACAGGTGTGAGCTACCGCACCTGGCCTTTTTTTTTTTTTCCTAGGCAAAGAACTTTATTACTCTTTGTTTCAAACTTTATTCCCAGGCTTTTTCAGCTTAATTAGCTGCAAAGAATGAAATAGTGTATAAGCAAAAGATGAAAAAAGCTGCAGTGTCCAAAGAGCTTGGGCTTAAAAATATTACAGATCTAGATTTTATCAGATCCATTAGCAAAAATTTCTTAAAATGCAGTCATAATATAAGATAGCAGCTCCCAGCAAGTTCTTCAAGGTTTATCTTCTTCAGAAGTTGGCTCAATTCAGTTTGCCTCATTCTTGGAAGCCTCATCAAAATTCTCCACAAGATCTGGAACTTCATTATCATCATCCTCTCCAGTAGCAAGTGGCGCTTTTCCATCCACAGGTTATTTGGGCAGAGCTTCAGCCAGTCTCCTTAACTTAGTGGGACTGTCTGCACCAAGCTGGTTTAAGATGCCGGGTAGCATTTCTCTCAGCTGCTTTGCCTCAGTGTGGCCTGTAATGGTGAAGGTGTTTGCTGCCAAAGATGCCTGAACTTTAAGGTTGTGAAAGTGGATCACTGTTTCTTGGTTTGTAAACATATTCACCTCTTCAATACTAGAGGTATTGTTTAACCCTAACTTCTTTAAGGAGAACTGAAGATTTTATCATCTGCTGTGGCTGTCCCATGAACCACTTTCTTCTTTTTGCTGGCAGTTCCTTTCCCGCCAATGTGCACTTGTACCTGTAGTTTGGTGAGTTTTCCCTGGTTCATGATTATTTCTTTCATCTTGTCGGAGCAGAAAAGGGGCAGCACGGGGGTCTAGGGTGGGTGTTCAGGGGGTCTCAGGTGAACCAGCTGAGATTAGGCGCACACATGCAGAGATGCCCATTTGTTCATCTTTAAACTGGAGATAGTAATGCCAGCTCCTCAAAGTCATTGTGAGGTGACTCAATAACCCATGCAAAGTCCCTGGAAAGCAGTTGCTGATGAATAAATGGTGGTTTCCTCCCTTGCTTGCCTACAATGAAGACTTGCAAAATATTTGTCCAACTGAGAACATCTTGAATAAGTTAAAAGAGGAAAACAAATCATATTCAGATGTGAATGTGACTTGTAATTTACCTCCAGGGAAGATTCCAGGAGAAGAGTTCAAAATCACCTGAGTGACGCATCACACTGGAAAAAGTGCCCTGCTTCCCAGGTGACCTCAAAGGACAGTGCTCCCTTGGAAACATGAACCCAGGCAGGTTTTGCTTTTATTTTCAAAAAACGTCATTCCTCTGCATGGCGGCTGCACCTCATAAATGGGCCAGTTTGGCTTTTACCATCTCTCCATTCTCTGCTCAACCTTGGTAGACTCACTCGATGATCACCAAAATGGCTCAAAATCAGGCAAAAAGATTAGGAGACATAGAAATGTCTGGAGAGACCATCTGCCTCTGAATTTCCTGCTAAGTAAGCATGAACATCTGTATTGAAGAAGCCACTTTGTATTACTTGCTGCTAAAAACACCGTAACTGGGCGTGGTGGCTCACGCCTGTAATCGCAGCACTTTGGGAGGCCAAGGCGGGAGGATCATGAGGTCGGGAGATCGAGACCATCCTGGCTAACACGGTGAAACCCCGTCTCTACTAAAAGAAAAAAAAATACAAAAAAATTAGCTGGGTGTGTTGGCAGGCGCCTGTAGTCCCAGCTACTTGGGAGGCTGAGGCAGGAGAATGGCGTGAACCCGGGAGGTGGAGCTTGCAGTGAGCCGAGATCATGCCACTGCATTCTAGCCTGGGTGACAGAGTGAGACTCTGTCTCAAAAAACAAAACAAAACAAAACAAAAAAAAACAAAAAACACCGTAACTGATTTAAACAAAAGAAGCAATTATGCCAGGTTCTCTTGTAGTCAGAATTCAGGTTGAGACTACAAAATGTGTTATGGGGAAATGGGCTTAAGGGGTCATAGAAAGCACATTGATCCATGCCTAGGTGTGGAGCCCTTGCTAGGCACCAGGTGCTATTTTTTTTTTTTTTTTTTTTTTTTTGTGATAGAGTCTCACTCTATCACCCAGGCTGCAGTGCAATGGTGTGATCTTGGCTCACTGCAACCTCCGGCTCCTGGGTTCAAGCAATTCTCCCTCCTCAGCCTTCCGAGTAGCTGGGACTACAGCTGCCCACCACCACACCCGACTAATTTTTGTATTTTTAGTAGTGATGAGGTTTTGCCATGTTGGCCAGTCTGGTCTTGAACTCCTGACCTCAGCTAATTCACCTGCCTCGGCCTCCCAAAGTGCTGGGATTATAAGCGCGAGCCACCGTGCCCAACCCACCAGGTGCTACTCTAAACCTTTCATGCACTTGGTCCCTTGCAGCCTCCCACGAGCCACGTGTTCTTACTGCTCCCTCCACCAATGAGGAAACGAAAGCATCGAGAGGCTGACTAAATTACCCAAGGTTGCAGAGCGAGTGCGTGGAACAGCAGGATTTGCACCCAGGCAGTTGAGCTCCGGGGTTCACCTTCTTTATCACTACCCCATTGGGCACCTGGTAACAGATGGTTCCCCCCAGAGGCCATCATCTGGGGTCCCACCTGCCTGAAAGTGTCCACAGTCTTCACATTTGGTCTCATTTCCAGAGGGGGAAGAAATGAAGACAGCATGAGGTGCAAAGAATGATCTGTTCCATGCCTCAAGCCCATTGATATGGTCTGGGTCTGTGTCCCTGTCAAATCTCATGTAAAATTGTAATCCCCAGTGTTGGAAGTGGGGCCTGGCGGGAAGTATTTGGATCACGAGGGCAGATCATTCATGAATGGCTTAAAGCCATCCCCTTGGTGATGAGTGAGTTCTTTGAAGAGCTGGTTGTTTAAAAGTGCGTGGCACCTCCTCCCTCCCTCTCTGTTGCTTCCACTCTGGCCGTGTGATGTGCCCGTGTATGTGCCTGATCCTGCTTCACCTTCTGCCGTGAGTAAAACTTCCTGAGGCTTTGCCAGAAACCAAGCAGATGCTGGTGCCATGCTTCTTGTACACCCTGCAGAACTGTGAGCCAATTAAACCTCTTCTCTTTATAGATTACCCAGTCTCAGGTATGCCTTCATAGCAATGCAAGATTGGCCTAACATACCCATGCTTTCTCTCTAGCAGTGTTAACACCCTCCTCACAGTCTCCAGGTCACCCACTCTGTCCACCCCTTGCTGCCTCCCTGCGCCCCATCTCTGTGCTTTGAGCCCCTGGCCTTCCTGCTCTCCCTTTCATGCCCAGGCCAGCAGCTCCTCTTCCTATTAAGGACAAGTCCATGTTGCTTTTGCAGATGCTTGCTTCCAGTCAGGCTTCTTCTGAGGAAATGTATTCCACTTTCACATAGAGATGAGAGGAAAAATCAAAGTAAACAGACATAGAGAAAGCATGCAGTGTGCAAAGCCCCTTATCCCTACTCAATAAACAACTGCTAAAATCATGGTAACGATGCCTAACTTTAAAAAATTCAGTTCAGTTCTATACATTTCAGGCTTATGAACACTTGCAAATATTGCAGTTAAGATGTGTTAAACACCTCTTCTTTCATTAAAAAAAGAAAATCTCACAAATAAAATCCACAATAGTAATAGGTTTAGTGTACGCCCTTCTAAGCACAGTCAAGACAACCGCCTGTGTTCTTTTTCTACCTGACAAAATATAGCTGTCATGCTTTAGTCACAGAATTACAATGCTTTGCTTTCATGACAAAAAACACTGATTAGGTTTTTAACATGTGCCAGGTTCTGTGCTTGGGGGAAACCAAAATTGTGTGTCAAACAGTCCCTGGAAGCTGACACCATGTTCTGTAAGATGATGATAGAGTTCCAGAGCAGAACACCTCCTCACCCTGAAAGGCCTCACAATGCTCCATCAACGGTGATCTCTGCTGAGCAGAGGCACAAAGAGGCAACGTGACATTTGGTGACAGCAACAGACTAGGACTTGGGGTTTTGTCCCTAGGTGGCCCCTGCAGTTGCTGCTTTGCTTTTTAGGACATCTTTCTTGCTTGTCTCTGTGGGTAAATGCTGACTTATTCTGCAAAACCACACTCAAAAAATGCCTCCTCGATTCCCCAAGACCCAGAAACTTGCTATTTTGCACTGTTCACTGCAGCTCGTAGCTGCCACATTGAGTAATCATTCATTTGCAACTTTAAAAGGAAGAGAACTCACTCTATTCATTCTTGGAATCCTCATCTCCCCGCTCTGTCCCTCAGCACTCATAACACTGTGGCTGGCAAAGGAAGATGGTGGAAGCCAGATGAATAAAACATGAGTGGGTGGCAGAATGTACACCACTGGTGAAGGGGGCTCACTCCCTCAAGGATGTCACTTTGTTCACAGGTATCTCCAACTTTGGTCTCCTCCTCACCACTTCCCTCCCCATCCCAACCGTAAAAAGACATAAAGATGGCGTCCTAGTCCTTTTTCTATTGTTTATAACAGAATACTGGAGACTGGGTAATTTAGAAGAAATGAAATGTCTTTCTTACAGTTCTGGAGGCTGGGAAGTCCAGGGTCAAGGGGCTGCATTTGGGGAGAGCCTTCCTGCTGGTAGGGACACTGCAGAGTCTCATGACAGCACAGGGCATCTTGTGGGGAGAGAGCTCACTGGGCAGGCACAGGCCTCTCTTCCTGTCATAAAGCCAGCCACTCCCAAAACAACCCTTTAATTCATTAATCCATTAATCTATGAATGGATTAATCCACTCATGAGGGCAGAGAGCCCTCATGACACATTCACCTCTTTTTTTTTTTTTTTTTTTTGGAGACGGAGTCTTGCTCTGTCGCCCAGGCTGGAGTGCAGTGGTGCAATCTCGGCTCACTGCAAACCCCGCCTCCCGGGTTCAAGTGATTCTCCTGCCTCAGTCTCCCGAGTAGCTGGGACCACAGGCACATGCCACCACGCCCAGCTAATTTTTTGTATTTTTAGTAGAGACGGGGTTTCACCGTGTTAGTCAGGATGGTCTCGATCTCCTGACCTCATGATCCGCCCGCCTTGGCCTCCCAAAGTGCTGGGATTATAGGCGTGAGCCACCGCGCCCGGCCGACCCAATCACCTCTTGGGTCCCACCTCTCCATCCTGCCACACTGGGGCTTGAGTTTCCACAAGAGTTTGGGAGGGAGCAAACATTCAAACCATAAGCATGGAAAGAGTCTCGTCCGTGATACAACAGCCTTCCTTGAACATTCCTTCTCAGCCATCGAAAGCCTTTTGAAAACTGGCTGCTTGGCTTTCATGTGGCCAGAAAATTTTGTAAAAGCCAACTGTGGTTCTAAGAAAAGATTTTGCTGAGTGAAGTGAAACTCCTCTCATAGCTGCCTGCAGACTGAGGGCAACTTCCCCAGTGTGGCCTCTAGAGAGGAGGGGGAGCCCCAGCTGAGCCCGGGTGGTGAGGGGTGGGGAGTCGGGGGGACTGAGGGTCTTGCTCCACCTGTGAAGGAATGAGCATAAAGAAGGCCTGGCCCAGGAGCCCAAGGCTTAGAGACAGACAGCAGCCAGCGTCCTATCTCTGCAGCTGCTGTTCCCTCTGCTCTGAAGCTCTTACCCACAGATACCCAGCTCACCCTGAATGGAAAACACTAGCCAAATGCCACCTCCTCCAGGAAGTCTTCTGGGGTTCTTCTGGCCAGAATTAACCACCCTTTCCATTATCCTCCTTTGTCATGGCCCTATTCTACCCAGGAACATTGCTATATTTGTTGGCATGATGGTAAACCCTAGAGGTTGGTGACTGTATCTTAATCTTTTTGTTCCCTCCACCCTATCCACACTCATTCTCCCTCTCCTTTCTCTTTCTCTTTCTGTCTCTTCATTTCTCTCTCCATCTCCCTCACTGTATATCTCTCTGTCTCACTCACCCTCCATCTCTCCATCTCTCTCTGTTTCCCTCTGTGTCTCTCTCTCACTCCTCCCTCTGTCCCTCACATACCTTCACATTCTCTGTTTCTCTCTCTCTCTCTTTCACACACACACACACACACACACACACACACACACACACACACACTCAGCACAGTGCTGGTCCTGAGAACCTTTCAAAGGAGCCTGTTGAGTAGCTCTCGGAGAATCTCTCCACTTCCACAAAGAAGGGTGACTAATTCCTTCCAGTGCTTAATGGGGAGAAGTGAGTTTTCAAATCTATCTGAACCACAAAAACTGAGCTCAAGCCACACCAGTTCAGACCCCTTTGGTGGCCCAAGAAAATACTCACTCACTTTGGCACGGCTCCTGGATTTTCCGGTTCCCTTGCATTTTAGAAAGCAGAGTAGTTGCCCCCACTTCTGGGTGCCTTGCTTCGTGCCCATATCATCCGCTCACACTAAAGCTTCTGAGACTCTATGCAAAATAATGTTGAAGACCAGAGATGCCATGGAGAACCATGAATTTACAAGTGAGGAAACCAAGGACCTGAGGACAAGGTGCTGTACCAGTTTCACAGCCGGCTGGTGGCAGGACACAAGGTGCTGTACCACAGTTTCACAGCCAGCTGGTGGCAGGACTTGGGCCCAGGCCTCTGGCTCTGCCGAGTGTTCCCCTGTATGGTGGGTGGGAGGTCCCCTGACAGTGACTTTTGCTTGGTTTTCCTTTTTTCTTTTTTTTGAGGTGGAGTCTCACTCTGCCACCCAGGCTGGAGTGCAATGGCGCAATCTCGTCTCACTGCAACCTCCGCCTCCTGGGTTTAAGCGATTCTCCTGCCTCAGCCTCCTGAGTAGCTGGGGTTACAGGCATGTGCCACCATGCCTGGCTAATTTTTGTATTTTTAGTAGAGATGGGGTTTCACCATGTTGGCCAGGCTGATCTTGAACTCCTGACCTCAGCCGATCTGCCCACCTCAGCCTCCCAAAGTGCTGGGATTATAGGCATGAGCCGCTGTGCCCAGCCCGGTTTTCCATTTAAAAAGCAGAAATAAAGGTTTCACGTTTTATGGTACTGTCAATTCTTAAGATTCAACTAATAAGGAGGAGAAAAAGAAATTTCAACAGGGGAGGCACCAGATGCCTTCACAAACCTTGACCTTCCTTTAGGCTGGCCACAGGTGCTGCCTGACCACCCCTCACCAGCAGCCACGCCTGGTGCACTTAGTTACTGCAATGTGGAGCAGTTTCCTGATCTTGAGGGAGGCCATGGGGATGGGCGGCCATGGTGGGGTGGGATGCCCTGGCCTTGCTCTGCGACACAGCCCTGCTCCCTGCCTCCTTCCTGCACCTGTGGTGAGAGATAATAAACTGGACAAGGCCCCAGCGGTTGCAATTCCAGGCAGTGTGGCACCCTGGTGGAAATACATGGAGAAAAGCGGGGCCAAGCCCTCAAGCATGAGGGAAGAAGGGATCAGGGAGGGAACAAGAAAGAAGCATTACCACGTTGCTGCTGCCAGGAATCAGAACACTTGAGCCTCTTAAAACTAGTGAGTGGCAGGGCTGGAGAGGTTCCCCTGTGTGTGAATGAAAAACTAACCCAGGGATTACAACACGTGCCTTCCTGGCTCTCCTCTCTGGGCCTGGAATGGCTCCTGCCTCAGTTTACCCATCTGAAAACTACCTAATGAGACGCATCCTCGGCCCAGGGGTGGGAAAGGATGAGTGAGTGGAGGCAAGGGGGATGGCCCGGGTGGCCGGCTGCATTCTCTGCTGTCCACCCTCCTGCCCTCCTTCTGGCCACGTCACCTCTCCTCCCTCTCCTTGAATCAGATTGACCCAATAACAGCCTGATCATCCAACTTCCACCCCATAGGCATCTCCCAAGACACACTGGGTTGAGAATGACTGTGCTGCCACTCCTCACCGAAAATCTCTCCCTTCTATGAACACCTCCCTGCTGGGACCAGCCCTCCCTCTCAGGTCGCCAGTTGCCGCACCAGCCCTTGTTGCGTGCTGGGGACAACACCATCACTTAGCTCATCACAGTCTCTTCTTGCCCCCTCAGTGTCGTTCTTGGCTTCCACAAGGGTGCTGGGCTCCTGACATCAGCACCCAGCTCCTTGGGACACACCCCCCTGCCATCTGCTTGAATCAGGAGCCAACATAGGGAGGCAACCTGGAGTCCTCAGGGTCCCTATGAGCTGGGGACAGAGCGGTCATCATTACTTACACGGTCAAGATGTCCTCTTTGTTCTTGGTCATGAGCTTGTTCTTTGTTGGAGGGAAAAAAATTGAGGGATGTTATTCTTTAATAAAAGTTTAAAGAAAAAAGAGTGGAGGGAGTGGCGAGGAGCCAGGGAAGAGGATGTTGTAGAAATCGGGAGAGGGGAGATGAGGGAGCACCTGCTCGGAGACAGTCCTTTTCAGGCCATGCAGTGACACCTGGACCTCGAGGTGAGCCACAAGCACGGTGGGATGCTTCCCGTCCATGGCACCACCGCAGGGGCTCCCTACGGGATCTGAAGGGTGAGGAAGGTGAGGACGGCCACCAACCGAGACAGCGTGGGCCAAGCTGGGTTCTCTGACCCAGCCCTTTCACGTGCCTAGTGTGGCATCAGCAAACAAAAAGGAACTGTGCGCACTGCCCTTGTCCCCCTCCCCAAGCCCTGGAGAAGCCCTGCAGTCCTGCTCTGTCGGATGAGGCTTTGTCACAGAGGAAGCATTGCGTCCGTCATTGCTAATGATGAACAGGTGACAGGGTACTGCCAAGTGCTGAACCTCATGAGGGCACAAGCAAGCCACCCACCAGGAATTAAAGGGAGTCACAGGGTTTACTCAGAACAAGCCAGGTGCCTTTCAAGCAGGGATTGTGTAATCCTCACCATAACCTAATCAGGTCTATGTCAGAGCCTCATCTTGCAGATACAAACACTGAGGCCCAGAGAGGCTGTCATACATCACGGTTGCACAGCAGCTGGGGGAGCCGGGATTTGAACTCAAGACTCCAAAGCCCTTTCTCCTTGCCTTGCCCAAGATGCCCTCTTATGAGATCGGCAGGCAGCCTTGTTATCATTCAGCAGCTAAAGCTGTGGCCAGAGGAAGGTGGAAAGGTGAGGACACACTGCTTCTCCTCACAGTCCAGCGAGTCCCTGCCCGACTCCTGCCCTGCCTCAGGGGAGGGAAACACAAAAAGGCAGATCCTTTCCTGGTGCTGGACACACCCCGTGACGTGTCCCAGGGGTACATGGATGCCTCTGTCATGAGTGAGCCTTCGAGGCCGGGCGAGCACCAAGCGTCTTGCAGTGCTGAGACACACCTGGGGCCAGGCTCCTCCTTCAGGGAGGAAGAAAGATGTGGCAAGATGAGTAATGAGGCCGGGCAGGGAGGAACCTGGCTGGTTTCAGTTAACGCAGGTTTGGGGAAGCACCCAGCTAGCTTCAGTTCAGGACACCACTAGGCGAGGAGGGCACCTCTCTTCACGGTTCTGTTCCATCGTGATGTCTGTCCTAAGCAAATGCTGTCTATGATCCTTCTGCAATCTTAGTGCCCCAGAAGTGGCTAGGGATCCTTGATTTGGCCATAATGTCCTGCAGATTGGACCTTATTTCCATCTCCCCAGAAGCTTTTTGGAAACAAGAAAGGCCATTTCAGAGTACAGGTGCAAGAGGGCCACAGAAGAGCCTGAGGCTGATGCCAAGCTGATGGGGTGAATCTAGTCCACATGACCCTAGAAGGAATATGTCTGACTTCCTGCTCCAAGACTATGGGAGGGGAAGGAGGCAGGAGGTAGAAAAGGGGGAGGCAGTGTCTGCCTGGCTGGGTTTTAGGGCAAGGGGCAGGAGGAGGGTAGGGTACAGGCCAAGGCTAGCACGACATCAGCCCTGGCTGGACAGAGGTGCTGCTGCCGGCAAGAACCCACCCTCATCCTCATCCTCATCTGTTGCCCACTAAAAACTCCATGGTTTCCACAGAAACAAAACGAGTCCCATCTGCAGGTGGGGCAATCCTCTTGTCCCTCTTTCTGCCTCACCCTCGTTTCTCACTGCCTGTCTCCTCCCTCTCCCTTCTTCTTTTGCATCTCTGTCTTCCCCTGAACCTCTTCCACACCGCCATTCCCTTATCTCCACTCTCCTTCCTCCCCCTCCCATCCTGCTCATGCCCATTTGAAATGGGAGCACACACTGGGCACACTCTGCAGTGCCCCCTCAGGCGCTCCCAACCCTGGCAGCTGTGCCATAAGCTGCCAATTCGTCTCAATATTCTATTTTACCATTCTGGCAATTTTCAGCTATGCATGAGATCTCTCAGAATATTGCCTTTGCTTTACTTCTAGGTGTGGCATTAGGACTAAGTCTGGGCCAGTGAAAAGTCAGCAGGTATGCTGTGTGCAACTTTCTTTTTTATTTTAGAGATGCGAACTCAAACTCCTGACTCAAGCAATCCTTCCACCTCAGCCTCCCCAGAAGCAGAGACAACAGGCCGGTGCCACCATGCCCAGCATAGTGTCCAACTTTTTAGAAGTGACCACAGATAAAGGCAATGTGCCTCAGTCTTTCCTTTCCACCATCCTTGTTAGCAGGAATGTGGACATGATGGCCGGAGCTCATGCAGCCACTTTGGCATATGAAGTCTATGTCTCAGCCAGTGTATCTACTTCCCAGGATCTGCTCAAGTGTGGTTCCTCTGCTCAGTACCACATTAAACTTCTGAGAGGATCACCTGACATCACCACCTTCTTGTAAACCATGAAAGAGTTTTTATTTTTTTAAATGAGGTTCATTGAGTTTCATGCCATCTGGTGGCAGAGATTACTGTGCCATGACATTTCACCTGCCTGGCCAGGCTGGGCCCATGGTGGTGGATGTTCCTGACTTCCCATGTTGCTTGTAGGCACAACCCAACAGCACATTGCTTCATGCCTCGCGTCACATGCCTCCCACCACCTGCCTCAGGGCTTCCCTGTTACTGTGAAGAGCAAGAAACCCGGGGATCTACTCATTCAGGTAGACACACGGCCTTTCCAGACAAGGTCTGTTGGGCTGAGATGGGCAGGTGGAGAGTCCCCCTGACTCACACCCGCTCACTTACTGGCCCCAGGTCCTGTGTTCACAATGCAGATGCTCCTGCTGCTGTTTCAGGAGCTGCTTTTCCCAGCTAGGAGATGCCAGCTGGTGCCACCTGGAAGTGTGGAGTCCTGCTGCCCCGTGAAGCCAACTTTGACTAATGGGGGACATGGCCAGGCAAATTTTTCTCCCTTCTTCTCATATGTATTATTCCAAGCCCCAGTGGGCCTTTCTAGAGACACTCTGTGAAACTAAACAATTAGCTGCATTTGTTGAAAGCTGGGGCCGGCCTCGTAAAGCACCCCTTTGTATTCTACTCCTTCCTTCTCGGCCTCACCTCTTTCCCCCTTCCTCTTGCTTCCTGGAGTTGCATTCCTCAAGAAAGTATTTGTACATTAGCTTTGGCCTCAGTCTCTGGTTTTTAGAGAACCCAAACTAAGACAGGGAGACACATGGAGGATGGCAAAGAAGAGATGCGGAAGGAGCCGGGGTCCTAAGAATTGTGGCGTTGCCAAACCCCTCCTGGACTGGGGGCTTCTTGGCCTTTAACCTGGGAGAGAAACAAATGTCTCTCTCATATTTAAGCTACAGCTATTCAGGACTTTCTCTTACCTGTAACCTTTTCCTAATAAATGCAGCTGCACGAGCCGGGCTTGGTGGCACACGCCTTTAATCCCAGCACTTTGGGAGGCTGAGGCGGGCAGATCACCTGAGGTCAGTAGTTCAAGAACAGCCTGGCCAACATGGAGAAACCCCATCTCTACCAAAAACACAAAAATTAGCCAGTTGTCATGGCATGCACCCGTAATCTCAGCTACTGGAGAGGCTGAGGCAGAACCCAGGAGGTGGAGGTTGCGGTGAGCCGAGATTGCACCACTGCACTCCAGCCTGGGCAACAGAGCGAGACTCTGTCTCGAAAAAAAAAAAAAATGCAGTTGCACATGCAAATCACCTCTGGGTTGCAATTCCCTGGACAACACCAGCCCATCATTAAAATGCTTTATCTCCTTTCATTCCCATTTCACTTTCACTGGCATTGCCTTATTTTGATCCATGCAACATTCCTACAAGGCAGGTTGGACAGATGTAATTATTCCTTTCCATTCACCACCCCTTCCTACCAACTCCCTACTTAAAGAGTAAAGAAATGAAATCTCTTTGAGGTTATATGATTTCCCTAAGGGCAAGGGCTAATGAGAGAAAATCCCTGGTCTCCTAGGCTATTAGACCAGACTGCACCACCATTTCACCCTGACCCTTCACAGGCCAAGCAGTTTGGAAGTCACCAGCTTTTCAGTTCTCCTCCCAGGCACACAGTGGAATTGCCTTTTCTGCTGTCTTGAAGTTAGAAGTGGCCAAGGCAATGCACACGGGAGTGTTGCGCCTAGGCGGAAGCTCCAGAAAGCGGCGATGACTCACCCAGCATATCTTCCTCTATCCTGGGGACCATTCGAACTAAGGATGGTGCCTGCTCGGCCACTGGTTCCTGAAATGAGGCTGATGTGAAGAAGGGCATTGCCCCAGGCATAATGGACATATGATGAGAAAGAGAAGTAAACAGGGGCGGGGGATGTTTGCTTATGCACCATAACCCAGCCCCTCCTGCCATGACTATACATGCACTACATAGGTCCCGTTCTGGGATTGTAGCTCATTTTCATTTGTTTTTAAAGGGGACAAATCTAAGCCAGTTTTATTAAAATATCAAAGATCTTCTCAAATTCCGACAGCCCTGAGATCCTCAGGAAGGGCGTGCCTGTGTTGGTTGAAACATTCGCAGCAAGGATGTTGAAAAGCCTTCAAGATTAAAGCCAAGGGATGTGCTTTTGTTTCAGAGCTCACAGGCCTGTACTCAAAAGAGTGGCTTCCAAGTTTCTGTTATCAAATGGAACTTTTCCACAGCCCTGACACAGACTAGACATTCTTGCTAAGAAAAATTGGTTTTTGTTTTTAAAGGAAAGCTTTTCTCTAACATGTAAGTCATTTATCGTTTCATACGTAGGAAGAGACAAGTGTCCCAACAAAGGTGATTTGCCTACTTGTTCTCCCTCCAGCTCTAGGAAGAAACCCCTCCACTGAATTCCATCAGCTCCTAGGCGTTCTGCCCCTGGGTGCAGAGAGCTGGTAAACACTACATTGAGCAAATTGGGGAGAAATAAATCCATTCCTCCTTAAAATCCCTGAGCCTCTCTGGAAGCCACAGTTCTTGAGGGAATGGTGGGCCGATTCCCTTTACAGTGACTTTGGATGTATCTCAGAATGGAAAGAGAGAATTTGCCCCAACACAAGGCTCCCCCTTATTTGTGGAAACATGGCAAGATCACGGCTATGTTTCCTGCCCAAACCCAGGAGAATTAAACACTTCAGAAAGGACATGGAATTCTCACTGGAAGCTATGAGCTCTTCGCTTAGGCAAAGGAGACTCACGGATCTTTTGAGTTTGTAATCTTTGTGAACTCTTCAGGCACTGCAGTTCTATTTAAAGCTAATATATTGCCCTTGTCCAGACCTTGCAGGGGGTTCTTCTCCTCCTGCTCAGCCCCTGGGTGCAACCTTCCCATTCTCAGGGTCCCTCCTGCCACCCTTTATCTTTGCAGCCCTTCAAAGTTACTCCAAGTCCAACCCATCCCCTATGCAACTTCAAGCCACTTAGCTCCCTTTTGGACACGTAATTTTACTATTTCAAGCTAGTAATGGAATCCCTAAAACTTAATTATGTAATTAATCGTTCCAATGTGCTGCGTCTTTCTCCAGCTTCACTGTAAACTGCACAGAGCAGGCATCACACCACATTTTCTTTGATCGCCATCCTGCTCTTTCCACGGGGATTGTGCTGAGGGTGCAATAGTCACTCAACAAACACTCTGCTTCATTTCTCATGAGGGCCGAACCCAGGCTGTTTTCTCCTTTTAATGTTTTAAAATAGATTGTGAAAGTCAAAGTGCTGACAACTGCCACCACTGGGGCACAAATAAGCCTCCGTGTCCCACCTGGCCAGGTGACCAGCTAGACAAAGTCCACCATAAAGTCCATGGTCACTTTTTCTTTGTAACTAACTGGTAAGTGCTTCCTGGGGAGGGACTCTGAAACTTTTTTTTCTTTCTTTCTGTTGTGTGTGTGTGTTTGTTTTTCTTTTTTAAGAGACAGGGTCTTACTCTGACACCCAGACTGGAGTGCAGTGGCGTGATCATGGCTCACTGCAGCCTTGGACTCCCGGGCTCAAACCATCCTCCTGCCTCAGCTTCCCAAGTAGCTGAGACTACAGGTGAGCTCCACCATAGCTTGCAAGATATTTTCTAATCACTAGAGTCCAGTGTCTTTCTTTCATGTGCAGGTTGCATCTTCTACAGATTCCCTTGAAACTCTTCCAGCCCCGTTTGACCTGCTTTACTTTAACTAAATGTGTTTTGTTCTGCCTGCTGAATGATGGGAAGTGGGGCAGAATAGCTCAGGATTTATGGACACCTGGTTGCTGGTCCTGTCATAACCTCTCTGGAACCTTAGATCGCAGATCTGTAAAATGGATACTAAACAGGAGCCGAGTGAACTCTAAAGTCCTTCCAGCTTTGTGATTGCACAATTTAAAAAGCACAAATTGCGATTGCAGGATTTGGACCTCCTCCACCTCTGTCTGAAGGTCCCTGTGTCTGTATTATAATTGGCTATTTCAACAGTCATTCACTTTACTAATGGGGTAGGTAGTTTGGGGAAAGAGGTGTCTCTTGGAGTCCTCCAGGCACAGTGAAGGGGGAAGAAAGTAGGAGCTTTAGTTTTCTCTAATGAACAGCGACCACTTACCTCACAATGTTCACAAATGGGCGCCTGCCCCATCTCGTTGTGTCAGCTCTTTGGGGAAAGATTTTTATGCTTTTGGAAGTTCATGAGCACATAGAAATGATCATAATTTTCACTGCAAGAGAAGAAGTTTTCATTTAACTCCTCCTTCATCTGCTTGGTAAATTAAAACACACACTCAGAGAGAGACAAAGTAGATTAGTGGTTGCTTATGGCTGGTGGGGGGAGGGGCGAGGCAGTAGGAGAGGGGTAGCTAAAAGGGCTTCTGATATTCTACAGCTGACTGTGGTGATGGTTGCGCATATCTGTGAATGCATTAGAAATCATTGGCTTATAGACTTTATTTATTTATTTAAATATTTATTGAGACTGAGTCTCACTCTGTTGCCCAGGCTGGAGTGCAGTGGTGCCATCTGGGCTCACTGCAACTTCCGTTTCCCAAGTTCAAGTGATTCTCCTGCCTCAGCCTCCTGAGTAGCTAGAATTACAGGTGACTACCACCATGCCTGGCTAAGTTTTTTATTTTTATTAGAGACAGGGTTTCACCATGTTGGTTGGCTAGGCTGGTCTTGAACCCCTGACCTCAAGTGATCCACCCACATCAGCCTCCCAAAGTGCTGGGATTACAGGCATGAGCCACCGCACCCAGCCTGGACTTTAAATTGACCAATTGTGCGGTGCATAAATTACATCCCACACAAACACACACAACACATGTTGGCAAGGAAGCACCATAAGAGGACCCTGAGTCTCCCCGTGCTGATGGTAGGGACTAGAAAATAGACCATCCACACGTGGTCCTAGGTGAGGTCAGGAGAGGTTTAAGGTGGTCAGAGAGCAGGGAGAGCCCTGTGGCAGAAGAAGTGGCAGGTACAAGGACTGGAGGATGGGAGGGGCCTCATAGGGAAGGAAGGGCAGGGTCCTGCTTGGGCAGGTGCACCTCTCTTGGTTGATCTCAGGGTCTTAACGGTAGATCACCAACCAGGTCATCTCTTTCCAGGCTGAGGTGTGCAGAGATTCCTGATAAGGAGGGGACCTGGGGCCAGGCTGCCTGCTCCTAGCACAGGGTTCTTGCCTACCACCTCTCTCTCCCACCAGCACCAGAAGTGCCAGGGGTGGGGGCAGGTCGGGGGGGTGGGCAGCGGATCTCAAGGCTTCTGGGAAGTGAAAAGTATATCTTCCTCCAAAAATTTTAGATACATAAATAGAGCTTTACTGATTCCAAGAGATAGTATAGTGAGATTATTGCAACGAATTTAAAAAAAATCATGATTTGGATCTTAATTTGGCAAACTCCCAGCTGTGTGACATTGGGCAGGTAAGTTATGTCTAGACTTCACTTTCTTCATCTATAAAATGGGGACAGAGATTATGCCTTCTTCATCGAGTAGTTGTGGAGGTTCAATGAGAATATGAATTGGAAACACTTAGTAGAACACCTGGCCCCTAGTAAATACTCAACGAATGTCAGGTGGTGTTGGTCTTCATCTTTATTGTGTGAGAAGGATGATGAACTCACTGAACATATGAGGAAACTGAGAGGCCAGAGTGGAAGCCAGGACTGTCATGCAGGTCTCTGACGCGCTGTCAGTTTCTGTTCTGCAGGCTGTGAGCTGATTTGTACCTGGGAAAGCCAAAGTGTTCACATAGACTAAGTCAGAATAAGCTCCTCCAACTCGACTTGATCCTGGGTGCAGAAAATGCTGGAAGCCTGACACAATCACAGCCCAAAGGGAGCAAATGAAAAGAAATCCTCTGAATGAAATTTGGGGTCTCACTTCGGGCAGCACCCACCCTCTGCAAAAGGGAGATGTTTCCACAGCTGCTGATCCTGGATCCAGAGGCAGCACTCCCTCCACGAGGGACACTCGGGCATTGTAAACTCAAGCATCCCTTTGTTTTCCATTCTTCACTCAGACATTCCTGATGACTAACTAGGGATCAATATAAATCACGTCATTGTGATCTCGGGTCTTTTCCTGCTAAAGAAAAGTAGAGAGTATAAGGAAATGACGGTGGTTTGAAAACAGAAAGCAAAAGTACTCCCTACAAAAGTTATCTGGAGCTATTAGGAAAACAAGGAAGAGGCTCCTGGTGATTTGGAAGCCGGGCCAAGGTCTAGGATGCAATTGATGTCAATAGGTCCTTTGCAGGTAGAGGGACAGGTGAGGTCATAGTCTGACGTCTGTTCTTACAGGGCTCCTCCCTGGAAATGACTCGCTCTCTCTGTACTCATTTCCTCTCAAGGCTTTGTTCCAGCAAGGGTTTCTTTTGAAATAGGAGAATCCCAGGTGGCACAGGATGGGATGGGGTCTCAGTGGGAGCAGTTGCTGCAATTGCGAAAGAGGAGGAGGAGGAGGAGGAGGGGAAAGAGGCAATACTTCCAGCCTCCAGGGAAAATCTCTGTGCTTGCTGCCTTATCACAGTGACTGGGTAAGCCCAGGGATCCAGTAACGAAGGAAGGAGGTAGGGGGTGGCCAGGACAATAGTTCAGTTGTTGTCCAAGGCACGCCCTCATCACCTTCGTCATTTCTCTTTTTGAGGCAGAAATCCACCCTCAGATGCACACACAAAGCTGTCATTAACAGAAGCTTCACGTGCACCCCGGAAAGCAAAATTGGGCACTCGGCTTCAAAGGAAACGGCTTCTTCCTTCACAATACTTCATCACTAAATGGTTGTCTGGCATGTTTGTTTTTTCAAATGTCCACATTTTATTTGTCCAACTGATTGTCTCTTTATCAGCAGCAGCCAGGACCACAGCTGAACTGTTTGTGAGTTGGTAGTTTATAAAATCAATGCTAAGTCTTTGCTAGTGTTTCTCTAACACGCTCATTTGTATTTATTCGTCTCAGAAGTCAAAGAAAAAAACACAACATACAAAAGGCAGAGTGGTGCTTTTCTATGTCAATATGTGTTTGAGGACTTTTCTAGCTAATTGACATAAACTCGACAGCTAGACCAGATGACAAGCAAGAATATCCATCCCATAATGAGGCTTCCGGCACTGGCTTAATCAAGTAAATCCAGAAAACAAGGCTCAAAATTACTTGAGAAAGGTTTTAATTGTTTTTGCATCTTTTCTCTTTTTTCTTTCTCTTATTTTAGAAAAATTATTCTTAGAGGTAGAGTCTCAATACACTTCCCAGGCTGGTCTCAAACTCTTGGTCAAGCAATCTTCCTGCCTCAGCCTCCCAGGTAGCTGGGACTATAGACCTGAACCACTGTGCTGTTTTTGCATCTTAAAGGCAGAGCTCTGAGGGAGAGGTGGATCCCAAGCCTGTGGGTTCACCTGCTCTAAGAAATCAATAAGTCAAGGGAAACATCAAAGGGCATTACACATATGGGCTTTGACGCCAGGCCGACCAACTTCAATCCAGGTCTAAATGAGGGTTGAGCTTCTCTGAGCCTGTTTCTCATTCCATAAAATGGGAGTTGCAATTGTACCTACTGCATACAATTATTATACAGTAAGTATTTAAAACAGTGCTCAGCAAACATGAAAGAACTCGATGTTGAAGATAAATGTGTAGTCCACCTCCTCAGTGTGACAGATGCAGAAAGTAAAATTCACAGAATTTGTGCAAACCTCAGTTAGTTCAGTCAAGTCCAGAACCCAGACTCCTGACTCATAGTCCAGTGGATTTGAAATTTTTTTTAATTATTATTTTTTATTTTATTTATTTATTTATTTATTTATTTATTTATTTATTTATTTATGTTTTGAGACAGAGTCTCGCTCTGTCACCCAGGCTGGAGTGCAGTGGCACGATCTCGGCCCACTGCAAGCTCCGCCATTCTCTTGCCTCAGCCTCCCGAGTAGCTGAGACTACAGGCATGCGCCACCACGCCCAGCTAATTTGTTTTGTATTTTTAGTAGAGAGGGGGTTTCACCATGTTGGCCAGGATGGTCTTGATCTGACCTAGTGATCCACCCGCCTCGGCCTCCCAAAGTGCTGGGATTACAGGTGTGAGCCACTGCACCTGGCCACGCCCAGCTAATTTTTGTATTTTTAGTAGAGACGGGGTTTCACCATGTTGGTCAGGCTGGTCTTGAACTCCTGACCTCAGGTGATCTGCCTGCCTCGGCTTCCCAAAGTGCTGGGATCACAGGCGTGAGCCACTGCGCCCGGCCCCGAGTGTTCTTTCTTCTGAGCACACTCGCTTGGCCCTACCTACCACCGCCCCTTTGGGGAAGGAACAGTGGGAGGTGGGAGAAGGTTCAGGAGTAAAAGGAACTCCTCTATAATGAGAGAAGAAAAATGCCTTAGCCTTAGGGTCACTTGGGTTTGCGTAGACTATTTTGAAAGGATGAAACAATTTAAATATTAGTAGCATGCAGACCTCACTAGCTAGCACACAGGCCAAATGTGGGCTTACCCTCTTACTAAAGGACACTGATTTACTAAGATATAAAGAATTTTAAAAAGAGAAATGTGCATGCTTTTAGAAGGTAGTGAAACATTGCTTGTTGTACTCATCAGCTCCAAAAGCCCTGATCGGTGAGATGATTCACTCACCTACGTAAGAGGGGAGGAAAGAAATATCTAAGAAAATTTGTAATATTAAAAAAATATATGTATTTGGAGAGAATTGAGAAGAAAAATGTTCTACACATCTCCTGGCTTCCATGACAAGAAAAGAAGAAAGGTGACATTCAGTTACCTGCTGGCTCAGCAGAGGGTCTTGTTCCTCTCTCTGGTCCTTCCTTTCTTCCTTCATTCCTTCCTTCCTTCCTTCTTTTTTCTTCCTTCTTTCCATTGGTCATTTATGCATTCAACAAACACTGAGCACCTTCACTATCAGTTCCTGTCCCAGTGCCAGAGATACGATAGATAAGAAGATAGGAGAGACCCTTGCTCTAGTGGAGTCTTCATTCTTAAATTCTAGTCATATCTCATTGAGCGTTCACTACACGTTGATCACAGAGGAAAATAAAGTTATTTCATAATGCCTCCATTTTCCACTCCGAGAGTATTCCCAATTTGACAGGCATTTTCTTCATAAATACTCTCAAGTTCCCATTTTCCTCTGGAGAGACCAAGGTACAACAAAGTAAAATAGAAACAAATTGATATAACTCCTGTCAGAGAGGAAGTCAGTGGCAGAAATGATCATGAAAATAACAACGATAGCTGCAACCACAAACATGGTTTAAAAAAAAAAGAAGAAGAAAAGAAAGGACCTAAGTTCAATTCACAAATTGAGCTCAAGTCATTATTTAACAAAACAAATACTAAAGGGTCCTACCTGCCATCATCCTATCTCAAAACTATATCTTATCTGTAGCAAAATGTTGTCCAGTGTAAGAGTCATAAAGTTGTGTTGAGCCTCCACAGATAAAACCAGCACTCTAACTGTGGAAAACTGTTTTAAAATAACAAAATAGACCATGTTTGTTGGTTTTCCCGGGAGAGACCTCAGCTCAGCTGTAAAACTAAGCATGAAAATGGGATTCCTCCCATCCTCCATAGAGCCTGGATCATGAGAAATCTTGCCTCTCAACATGCCAACAGGTCAGAGGGCAGTCATGTTCTTTGCTGTTCATAGTACCACGTTGTAGAAGGCAAGCTGTCTAGGGAATAAAAGAAATTCAGAGCGATTCATCTGGAAATTGCTCTCCAGGGGCTATTATTTTCAAGGTTAGATGACCCCAGAAGAGCATTCTCTTTGCTGACGCAGCCCCAAGTGACCACCTGCATTTTTGTATTTTTTCGGAGTAGTTAGAGGAGGCAACGATCGTCAGCAGCCCCTGCAAACGCAGAGACGGAGCAGGATAGAAATGTTTCCCATTGCTGTGTACAGTCGGTCAGCTCTGCCACCTTCCACGCAATTCACTGCTTAGCTCTTACAGCCTCTGTGGAACAGAAAAATCATCTGAGCTGGGGGGGACTCAGAGGCCCAGAGGCCAGCATTCCTTGGTCAATGCCAACACTACCTTTGCATGTCTGCCATGCATTATTAAGGACTCAGAAAAGTGCTGCAGTGAAGAAACCGGTTGAATTGTTTAATTCATCATTTTCTTTTAGAGATAGGGTCTCATCTTGTCACTCAGGCTAGAGTGTAGTGGCATCACTCTACCTCACTGCAGCCTCTAATTCCTGAGCTCAAACAATCCTCCCACCTCAGCCTCCCGAGTAGCTAGGACTACAGGCATGCATCACCACACCCAGCTAATTCTTTCATTTTTTTTGTAGAGACATCGTCTTGCTACTAATATGTTTTCCAGGCTGGTCTTGGACTCCTGGGCTCAAGTAATCTTCCTTCCCCAGCCTCCCAAAGTGCTGGGATTAAAAGGCATGAGCAACTGCTCCTGGCCTAATTCACCATTTTCTAGACTTATTTGATCACAGAAATATTATTCCTTTAAAACTGGTTAACATCTAGTGGATTCTTTGAAATATGGTCTGGGAAAATACTGATTGCATACAAGTTTCTTACTCACACACACGTATGCACATGTACACACACACACACTTTATACCAAGATCTCAATAAAACATTCCTAGGTAACAAAAGCACACCATAAGTCCATAAGTGTTAATCGAGTGAATGACTAGATTGAGAAATTAATGAGAAAATGACTCAGCGAATTTACCAGAAGGCCTTACACATCCCACTGGAAGACTTGGCAGCAGTGAGCCAAGCCCTCTCCACAAACTCTCCCTCTCCCGTGTGGAATATTCAGGAAGGGATCCTGGGAAACGCAGGGCCCACAGTGCTGTGGTTGCCTCTGAGCCTGGCTAGCATAAAAGGGTGCACTCCAGGTGCTTGGACATGGGGCAGGCAGAGGAAGTTTCAGACTCTGGGGTCTCTGGTAGGTTCATGTCACCTTAGACTTAGGAATAGAGGGCTAAGCACGCCTGTCAAGTTGTCATCTGGTTGGATCCCATTCCCTATCAATAAGGGTGTCTGATGTTTATGTAGTATATGCATAAAAAAAGGTATGCTTCAGGTCCACAATCCCGTATCCAAAACCCTTGGGGCAGGTGTACTACAGATTTCAGAATTTTTCAGATTGTTCCAAAGATAATGTGGTACATATACCATATATTGTGTAATTCCATGCATGGGGGCACTGTCTCATATTCACATATTAACATTTTTGCAATGAAACATGGACATTCACAGCAAGTGAGATAAATAAAACTTACACATTGTTTCAAGCCAGTTCCAGTCAGATGATGCTGCCACAGTGGTGTCAAGTATACAAAACACTGTTCGTTTTCATAGCTCTCTGCATTTTGGGGGTTGTAGGTGAGAGAGTGTGGGTCCTTAATATACCTGTCATGGGAAGGATAGTTGCTACAAAGAGAAAAGGGTGATGGCAAGTCCCCACAATAAATCTAAGGACCTCTTATAAAGAGAAGGGGGCACTACCAGTGCCTCGCATGCTCTTATTTGTAAACAAAAGACTTCCCAATGCTCTATTTAGGGTCAATGCACTGTGGGCCTTGCTTTAATGTTATCTGCTTCAGTTTGGAATCCACTATGAAGGGAATCTATTTTTGCCCTTGAAGGACTCATGAGAACTTTAAGCTGCCTTAACCATAATGAGAAGTGGCTCAAGAAAGAGGGGGTTTCCAAGACAAAAGGATGAAGAACAAAGACCTAATGAGTCACTCATTGATGCATTTCTAAATTCACCAAGATGCCTACATTTTGGGTGAATTTCAGTTCAATCACATAGTTTTATTTTTACTTTTTATTTATTTTTTGAGACAGAGTCTCGCTCCGTCACCCAGACTGGAGTGCGGTGGCGCGATCTCGGCTTACTGCAAGCTCCGCCTCCTGCGTTCACACCATTCTCCTGCCTCAGCCTCCTGAGTAGCTGGGACTACAGGTGCCCGCCACCAGACCTGGCTAATTTTTTTTTTTTTTTCTTCAGTAGAGATGGGCTTTCACCGTGTTAGCCAGGATGGTCTCAATCTCCTGACCTCATGATCCGCCCACCTCGGCCTCCCAAAGTGCTGGGATTACAGGCGTGCGCCACCGCACCCGGCCTCAATCACATAGTTTTTAATGAGCGCAGTGACAACGACACAATGACTTGTTTCTCTCCCTGTGTGCACTTTAATGAACTCAAATATCATTCTTTTTTATTTCTGCCTTTATGGCCTTAGGATTTAACCTAGAAAGAAAAGTTAAATGCAGATGTCTTATCTCCTGTAGGCAATTTTCAAGGAGCCTGCAAGTTTCTAACAAAATTCTCACAACACAATCAATCATTATTTGCCTTAATAAAGTGTATATGTTCCACAACATGAAGTACTTAGCCACAATGCTAATGAAACAGTGATAAGTGGTCCAACTTCAGAAATGGTTGGTATACTATTGGGATATAATACTGGAGGATTCTGCCTATGAGACAGCTGAGCTTTATTCATTAGAGTTCAAGCAAGTTGAAACACCAAGATTGTATCTTCTCTGCATCAGGCCATAGGATCATTGACAAATAGATGTAGAGAGTTCACAAAATCAAAGTGCAAAAAGAATGTGGTTGATGGTTTTTCTTTTCTTTTCTTTTCTTTCTTTCTTTTTTTTTTTTTTTTTTTTTGAGATGAGTCTAGCTCTGTCGCCCAGGCTGGAGTGCAGTGGTGCAATGTCAGCTCACTGCAACCTCTGCCTCCTGGGTTCAAGCGATTCTCGTGCCTCAGCCTTCCAAGTAGCTGGGACTACAGGTGCCCACCACCACGCCCAGCTAATTTTTGGTTTGTTTGTTTGTTTGTTTGTTTGTTAGTAGAGATGGGGTTTCCCCATATTGGCCAGACTGGTCTCGAACTCCTGACCTTGTGATCCGCCCACCTTGGCCTCCCAAAGTGCTGAGATTAGAGGTGTGAGTCACTTCACCCGGCCATGGTTGATGATTTTACTTCAAGCCACACTGCATTAAACTTATCAGACCCATCATATTCACTTCTGTTTGCAAACATCTGCAGACGTAACTGTTCTTCAATGCCTGAATCATTCATTCCTGCGTTTAAAGCCCCTCACTGTCAGTTTGTGGCAACTCACCCCAAAGTCCCCAGATAATAGGCCAATTATATCTTGTCACTGGAGATCTAGTCTCACCAGGCCACCAAGGCTTAATAACCTCAAGAAGGGAATTTCCTAAACCTCATACCCAGCTGGGGATTTAGGACAATGAGTTTCTCTCCATTAATCTTTAATTCCTGAAAATGCTGAGGTTGCCGATAATGGTCGCGTGTGTTTCCCTCCAAATCATGAGCGGCAAGAAGCTGAAGCGCCATGGTTGCTACAGGAGGTAAAGTCTGCCTGTATCCAGCTCCCAGGTGGCATTTGGTCCTAGCAGCTGGGAGGGGACAACAAGGGCAATCCAAGGGCAGAACAAAGGAATGGGGAGAAGCCCCCAACAGCGAGAGTTTACCCTGCACCCACGGGGAGGGAAAACCAAAGCTGAACAACTCAGTGGCCAGAGGCCCTGTGCTTCACACCAAGCTCTCTGAGAAGCCAGAGACTCCTGCTGTCGGGGGGATGGTGACCCAGTGGGAATCTGCACAGGACATAGAGAGAGTGTGTTGGTGGGGGTGGGGGAAGAATCTCCCAAGAGGAGGCAGCCTCTCAGGGCACCATTCTGTCGGCAACTTCCATGAAGCCTCAGAACAGTGCCTGGCACCCAGTTAAGTGCTTAATAAATCAAAGTATTCTCCTGTCTCCTGGTCTGTCCTCTCTAGGCACAAGATTGTCCACTTTGTTCTCAGTTGGGTCTCTGTAGTTCAAACACATCTACTTCTTATGTTTGCATAGAAATCCTTAAGTCAGAACTCTGTAGTGAAATAACTAGTTAAAAAGTGATTGAAAAGGGCCAGGCATGGTGGCTCACACCTGTAATCCCAGCACTTTGGGAGGCCAAGGCCAGTGGATTACCTGAGGTTGGGAGTTCGAGACCAGCCTGACCAACATGGAGAAACCCCGTCTCTACTAAAAATACAAAATTAGCCGGGCTTGGTGGAACATGCCTATAATCCCAGCTACTCGGGGGGCTGAGGCAGGAGAATCGCTTAAACCTGGGAGGCAGAGGTTACGGTGAGCCGAGATCAAGCCATTGCACTCCAGCCTGGGCAACAAGGGCGGAACTCTGTCTCAAAAAAAAAAGTGATTGACAAAAGAAAAAGATTGAATTCCTATCTATCTAGCATTCTCAAAATAGCGAAATTATAGAGCTGGAGAACAAATTAGTCGTTATCAGGGGTTAGATATGGAGGAGGGAGTAAGGAGGTGGGAGATTTTTGCAATGATGGAACAGTTCTGTATCTTGATTATGGTGATGGTTACAAGACTCTACCACCAGTTCAGTGTGATAAGGCTGCACAGAACTGCCCCCCTGCCCACACACACACACACACACAAATGAGTGCATGCAAAGCCGGTGAAATCCAAGGAAACTCTGTAGAGTATACCAATGTCAATTTCCGGGTTTTAATATTGTATCTACTTCTATAAGATGTTACCTGGGGAAAACTGAATGAAGATGAAGGATACACAGGACTTCCTTGTACATTGTTCTGCAATTTCCTGTGAATCTATAATTCTCATAAAAAGGCTGAATCCATGTGAATGAATTACGTATGCAATTTGCTAAACAGTTAAGGTAAGCATAGATAGATATATAGAAAAACTGCGAATAATATGCACTGTTTGGCTCTGATGTTAACTTTTCACACATCCCTCACTAAACGATTGGGATAAACCAGAGCCATCACTTTGAAAAACTCCAGGGTCATCATGCATATTGCAGTCTCTATGAGGTGCACCTTCAGGAGCTGTGCCATATACAACCTGTACAATAATACACAGCAATCCTGCCTTTAGGCAACTGCTGCTAAATGATGCATCTCCATTGCTGGTTCTTTTCATTCATCATCCTGGCTTCATGATCTATTTCTGTTCCTCAAACTGCTCCACCTTTGAAGCCAATCTAGATTGGAATAATCAGTTTTGCAGCAGCATTGATATTTTTGTTACACAGAATTCTCAGTTTCTTGGTCTGTAATTGCTCAGATTTCAAACATAAAACAGACTTTTTATTAATGTATCTAATAACTCTTCATTGAGACCTTACTGTGGGCTATAAAGATTGATTTCTGTATTGTTGTTATTGTAACCATGATGAACCATAGTTCACATGTACACTTGTACAATGCTGTAGTTCGAGGCGTTTCACGCTCTTCCACCAGCTCATCTGTGACATGCTTTCTCTTTAGAGAGAAAGCTTCTCTCTGTAGCTCTGGTATATATCTAGTTCACTAATTTGTTGGCGGAAAGAGAACCTTCCAGCGTGAAATCCACCTGAAACAAGACTCCCTGCTATGCAGCAGTTGATTCTGTTTCTTTACAAGTTGAACCATCCAGCTTGGCTGGTGCCAGACTTTTATTGTTTAACCGTTTCAACCTATTGATGTGCGGGCCATTCATGATTGTGTGGTTCACAGCAGGGCTGGTCCCAGGACAAGCCCAGTGGTGACTCAGTTAAAGGGGACAGATACGGAAACAGATGAACAATGCATGGGGTGAGGAGGTGGTGGTGGCAGGGGCAATGCAGGGGAGAGGGCTGGACAGGTGAGGCAGGCCAGAACCGGTGACTCATGGGCTCCCCTTGGTCAGGAGGGCTGGAGCAGGTAAAGCCCGCCCACAGCCGGGGAACCCACACCCAGCACACGTTCTCTCCTGATCTGCTACTCCCGCCCCAGTTTCCCATCAGACACAGGAGCAAGAGATGCACAAAAGCTGCTTCCTGAGCAGCGAGTTGGGACAAAGCCAACAGGTGATCTCAGGGCTTGGCACTTTCCCCATGCCTGAAAGGAGATCAACCATGAAGGTTACAATACAGGTTTAGAGAATTAATAAAAAGGTGTGGGATGGGGTGAGTTTCAAGCTCCAGGATCCAAGTGTTTACTTTCCTAGAGCAACTTCTGTCTGAGCACCCCCCAACACACCCACCCACCCACACACACACCCCTACACATCTGGAATTTTCTCTCCACTTGCCAGTCACCAAATCCCCTCTCCACCACCACTAGCAGCCCTACTCCCTGATTAGCTCGAGTCAGTAAAAAGGCAATGTGGCAGAGGGGCTAAAAGGTTCACCTTTTCCCAGCTCTAATTAGAGAAAAGAAAAGAAAGAGAAAGGAGCTGGCTAAAAAATAAGACTTTGCCTAGACTCCACTAACCTGGCCTTGCAGCTAAAGAAAAGACTATCTTTTTAAAAGGAGGAGGAGGAGGAAGAGGACATGATGACGGGGGAGGAGGGGGAAGAGGGAGAAGGAGAAGGAGAAGGTCCTTTCATCCTTACTTAACCGTAAGACAAATTTGAATCCAGCTGCATCACTTAGTAGCTGTGTGATCTTGGACAAGTTTCTTTACCCCTCTGTGCCTCACTTTCCTCATTTGTAAGATGGAGATGATGGTGATAATGATAGTGGTGATGATGATGATGATGGTGTGGTGTTGATATTTGTGGTGATGATGGTGATGATGATGGTGGTGATGATGGTGGTGATGATGATGGTGGTGATGGTGGTGGTGATGATGACGATAGTTGTGGTGGTGGTGATGGTGATGATGGTGGTGATGATGGTGGTGGTGACGATGATGGTGATGATGGTGATGGTGATGATGGTGATGGTGGTGATGATGGTGATGATGATGGTGTGGTGATGATGATGGTGTGGTGATGATGATGGTGATGGTGATGATGGTGGTGATGATGGTGATGATGATGGTGTGGTGATGATGACAATACTACCAACCTCATAGGATTTGGGGGGAGGCTTGAAACTGTTGATATGTGTGAAACCACAGAGAT
The DNA here is from genome assembly GCF_000001405.40 of Homo sapiens. Classification (NCBI taxonomy): domain Eukaryota; kingdom Metazoa; phylum Chordata; class Mammalia; order Primates; family Hominidae; genus Homo; species Homo sapiens. The sequence goes on from NC_000006.12 coordinate 6,822,169, forward strand.
ATGCCTTGCACATAGGAATGCTCAGTGCACTGAGGCCATTCTTTAAAACTCTGGCTGGAAACCCCTTCACACTCCCCAGTTCCCACAGAGACTCCATCTTCTCCCTCTGCTTCTTCCTGCCTCCCTGCCTTGTGTTCTTTCAGAGTCCCTCCTGACTGTGTCTTTTCCCCATCCCCTTTCCCCCAAAAGACAGCTGGGTTTCAATATTAAAATCAGCGCTTTGGAGTCTGACCAAGGTGAATTCATATTCTTGCTCCACCCCATCCTGGCTTGGGCAGGTGCCTGGCTGTCCTCACCTGGAAACTGTGGCCTCCATCCTGCCTCCCAGACCTAGTCACAGCCATGAGGATGCCAGCCAGGAAAGTGAAAGAATGCCCGCCCTGAACAGGAGCTCAACAAATGGAGCCATTCTGCTTCCATGGCACCTGATGCCTAATTCTGCAGTTGCTCCCAGTTTCCCTCTTTTCTTCCACCCTCCAGACCATATTGTGCTACTAACAAGAACCACCACGTACTGAGCATTCGTGCCTTCCCAGCACTGTGCAAAGAATTTTGCTCCTGTAATCCTCACAACTCCTGGATTTGGGTTCTGCCCTCTGCTCCCAGAGCTCTGTCTACATTTCCCAAGGGTACCACTCAAATAACAGCGCATTGCTGTGAAGATCAAAGCAATAGGTTCACAGTGGGAAAAGAAGAGGAAGACATGAAGGGGCACCTAATGGGGTGACCAGCCCTCCAGGCTTGCCCAAGGCTGAGGACCAACCTGAACGGACGGTCACTCTAACAATCCAGTCATCCACAATGTCCAGGATGCCTGAAAATATCTTTTGCTGCTATAACAATGGCTCAGAAACCCACCTGACGATTTTGGAAGGTACTTAACTTCTCTGAGCCTCAATTTCATCATCTAAAACAGGGATAGCAATGGCTACCTCCTCACGGGGCCGCTGGAGAGATAAAAAGGGAAGAAGTGCATCCAGCATCCTCGCAGCATTCGTCTCATGGTGAGCCTTCCTCCACAGGTGTCAGCATCAAGTCCTGGAAATCACACCTGGGCTTGTCCACCTGCCAGCCACCACCCCTGGCCACTTCCTTATTCTCTCCAAATCTCAACTACCCGAACTTAATCAGTTCAAGCCAGGCACAGTAGCTCACACCTGTAATCCCAGCAATTTGGGAGGCTGAGGTAGGAAGATCCCTTGAGACCAGGAGTTTAAGATCAGCCTGTTCCACACAGCAAGACTCCATCTCTACAAAATATTCTTTTTTAAAATCGGCTCAGTGGGGAGATTAAGTAAGTTATAGACAGCTTGTGAAGAAGAAAAGAGGAGGAAGAAAAAAGAGAAGGAAGAAGAAGAAGAAAAGGAGGAGGAGGGGGAGGAGGAGGAGGCAGAGAGAGAGAAAGAAGAAGAAGAAGGCGGCAGAGAGAGAGAGAGAGAAAGAGAGAGTGCTAGCTGAAAAGAGCATTTTGCCTAGACTCCACTGACCAGGCCTCACAGTTTTTAGAAAAAGGAAGAAGACAAACCTCACAGATGCAGACTGGCTGGAAAACCCCAGTCCCTCAGTTCTTAACCACCAGACAGGGAAGTCTTGGCCAAACAATGGTGGAACAGATTCTTTGAGGGACAGACAAGAGACAGAGGGGGACAGAGGGCCCCAGCTTCAGCCTGATGCTTGGGTTTGAAATGTCCAATCCACCAGCACACCTGACACTCCTTGGCAGGAAGAGGACAGAAACCCTGGCAATCTGGGGGGAGGCACAGCCTGTTCACAGAATCAGAAATGTGGGAGCAAAAGTCATGGCCTTTGGTTCAGAAATGCCAAACATCTAATCACCTCCGGCAAAGTCCCTGGCCCAGTTCCATGTTATTGTGACCTCTGAGTCCTGGCCGAGTGCAGGGCAAACTCCACTACCTGCTCGGTGGCCCACGGGTCCCTTGCTCCTGGCACTGGGGTCCTGTTTCTTTTTACCCTTTCCAACTGGGCTATCTGGCAGGGATCAATCAGTCCCCACATAGAAGACACACTGGCAGGGGTCTCCAAGGCCTTTATGTGAAGGTCGGTGGCTTGGACGTTACTATTTTTTCAAATGGATTAAATGCCAATGGCATGCTGAGCCCACGGAGAAATCAGAGGTAGACAGTCGGCAGGCAGGCACTCTGGGGAGATAAACAGATGCGTGGCATTCCACAGCTCTGAGGAAAGATGCCCCTTGAAGCTAGGGAGAAGCTTTTGTCCATGCTGCCACCTTTAGGGGCTTTCTCAGAAATTCCCACTCCTACGCTCAGTGACGGGATCATCAGAGCCTAACAGCTTCTTGGCCATGGTCGTGCACAGCCATCGCCAGCCACCCTGGAGATGGCAGGCTGTGCTGGGACGGCCCTTTGCTCCCTGCACCCCAGGTGCTCCATCATGACAGGGCAGCTGGAGGCAGGAGCAGCCCCACTGTGTTCTTCACAGCCACCCTAGCTTGGATCAGCTGGTCCCTCTCCTGGGGCTAAAGCAGCGAAGGATTTACATCAACCCAGAAGGAAAAGCCACTGCTTTTGGAAGGGGCCAGGGAAGTGCAGCAGGAGGGGTCAGCAGAGCAAGAGAGGACAGGGACCCACCATGATGATGAAACTGATGACTTCTGTTGCCTCCAGTTGATCGCCCCACTCACCCTCAGCACCTGTACCAGCCTGTGCTCGCCTCCCGCTGTTGCAGGTGTGGAGGCTCAGGACACGCGGGGTGGGGGCAGCCCCTGAGTTCTCCTGCTGTGGAGGGACAGCTCTGACAGGAGTTAGGTTCCTACACTGATTTGGGACAATTACTCTTTCTCTGGGCTTCAGTTTCCTCATTTGCAACATAAAAAGCTTGGGTTTGATGGGTTTTTGAAGGTCCTTTGAGCTCTCTGATTCAGCAATGTGAGTGGAGTCTAGCCGGGAATGGCCCCCAAATGTGCGGCTGGCCCCATCTCTGTGGAGGGATGGAGATGGAAAATCAGGATGTGGTGGCAGGGCTGTCTGTGGGATTCTCCTGGGAGCAATGCTCTTCCCCATCTCACAACTCACCCACACGGCCCTGCCAGATGCCCTGGGTCTGCACCAAACGTTCTCCACCCTCACAGCTTACATCCTGGCTCACCTTGCAAATGACTCATGACAGCCGGGGACAGGGTGCCCCAGAGCACGCCCACAAGTCAGTGCCCATCCGCCCCTTCTCCAGGTGCCACTGCTGGGAGCTGTGGAGTTGTCAGCTGTTCCTAAGCCAGGGGCGCTCCTTGAGTTACAAAACCGAGAGGACATGGAAATTGAAATAGGAGAAGCAGCCAGTGGGGGCCAAAGGGCCCCTGGGCAGCTATGGAAAGACAACCCTGCCAGAGTGAGCACATTATTTATCAGCTCTCTTGGGGAGACATATATGGTTATAAACAGAACCTCTTCCTATCACAAGACATGCCTGCCAGCCTTTTCATGGATCACCAAAGCACCCCCAAGCTTCGCGCTTAGGGTGATTGCCAGGCATGGGAAACACCTAACAGTTGCATGTCAGCACCGAAGGAAGTGGGATTCAGACAAAAGGTGTTCCATTTCACAGCAGGGAGGAGGGAACGCCTTGGAAGAAAAAAGTCTTTCTTGGGGCTACCCAGCAAGCCCAGCCAGAGCTTCTCAGCAATCAGGTGTGCATTTCTGGAGCCCAAACCACTCATTCTCAACCCAGGAACGGGATTAGGGGACTAGGGATATTTTGAGACCCAAAGAAAATTGACCCCCTACAAAAGAGCCCAAAGTGTTCCCAGCATTCTGCAAACCAGCATCTGGACTGCGAGGACATGAGGGCTGCATTGAGTCGGGGGAGAAGGAAGGCTGGCCAGTTAGGAATGACATCATGTGGCCACCGCTAAAAAACAAACAAACAAACAAAAAAAAAACAAAAAAAAAACGCACTCTGCTGTTGAGAGCTGGGGCATAAATGCCACGGCAGTTGCTGGGCATTTATGCCCCAGCTCTTAACAGTGGAGTGGGAATGGATCTCTCCAGGTTGGATCGAGTGGCTGCTTTCCTGGAAACCAGGCTCCTGGTTGCTAGGGCCGATAAGACAGGGAAAATGCTACACTCGGTGTTCATGGGAAAACATTTTGATATTGAAGAAGAGCTGAGACGTGTTAACAGTTGAATAAAAACAGAGCAGCCCTGGCTCAGGGGCTGCAGCTACCCGCCCGGCGGGCACTCAGATTACCCACGTGGTGTGCTGCAGGCAGTGAGTCAGACCGTCCATGCTCCTGAGACTGAGGGATGACAATCCCAAAAGGACACACCACCAAATGTGGCTCCTCCAAGTAGGTCCAAGGACCTGGCCTCTACTCCAGATGGCTGTGGGCCCCTGCAGGCCTCTCACTGCAGCCAGCCACCCCGGCACACACAGTGACTGTGGACGCTGATAGGCAGTGTCATAAGGCTGTAGATGGGGAAAGGGACTGTACAGGCGAATGGGGGATGCTCTGTGGCAGGGCACAGGAAGCCCCTAATGGGGACAGATTCTCCACTGGCAGGTGTGGCCAGAGGGGCACTGGCCTTGGAGCCTCTGTTTGTAGCTCTGTGCTGGGGCTTGGGGCACAGGGCAGCCCTCAAAGGGAAATGGTTTTAGTGGTTCAGGAAATGAAACCCTTTGGCAGAGACCCAGAGCTGGCCTGACGCACGCTGCTTTCTGCCCTACAGCAAACAGCGTGGTAACAAGGTGCCTTTAGGTTTCCATTTTAATCCACTAAGCCAATGCCTTGCCTGAGATTTACAAAGTTTAGACCCCACATTGGAAGATCCAAATGTCCCTCATTATCTGCCTCCCACAAGACAGCTACGAATTTTCCCATACGTAACTAATAACTTCAGTTTTTCTCTGCTATTTCCTACTGGTCTCCACGATCTCTCGGGAAAAGCGTGAGAGCACTGAGCTCAGGATGGCTGGACCCAGCAAGGCCTGAGGGTGGGGCTTAGGGCCACAGTGCTGCCATTGACCAGTGGTGCTGGGAGCCGGGAGGCCCAGTTTTGTTTTATGCGCCCGGCTGGGCATCACTGCCCCAACCAGGGAAGCAGAAATCAGTGAGTCCCAGCTACTTCTCCGTGATGCTCCTCTCACCACAGATACTCCTGAGAGATTGGATCAATGAGTCCCAGCTACTTCCCTGTGATGCTCCTCCCACCGCAGATACTCCTGAGAGATTGGATTGTGTTCCGGAGGGGAGTGGGAATAATGGACAGAGGAGAGAGAAGAGAAAGGGAAAAGAGAGAAGGAGAGAGGTCTGAAGCCAGCAACCCAGCGGGGTAAGGCAGAAAGTGGGAGCACAGAAGGGAAGACAGAGGGGGCTCCCCACCCGGCAGGAGACGACCCGGCATGCTTAAAGTAGAATGCAAAACACAAGTTTTGCATTGTTTAAAAGGAATATTGTGAAAGAAAAAGGAGGCCGGGTGTGGTGGCTCATGCCTGTAATCCCAGTTCCTTGGGAAGCCGAGGCGGGTGGATCGCTTGAGCTTGGGAGTTTGAGACCAGCCTGGGCAATACGGTGAAACCCTGTCTCTACAAAAAACACAAAAATTAGCCAGGCATGGGGGCACGTGCCTGTAATCCCAGCTACTCCGGAGGCTGAGGTGGGAGGATCAACTGATCCTAGGAGGTCAAGGATACAGTGAGCTGAGATTGAGCCACTGTACTCCAGCCTGGGTGATAGAGCCAGACCCTGTCACGCCAGTAATCCCAGCACTTTGGGAGGCCAAGGTGGGCGGATCACGAGGCCAGGAGATGGAGACCATCCTGGCTAACACGGTGAAACCCCGTCTCCACTAAAAATACAAAAAATTAGCCAGGCGTGGTGGCTGGCACCTATAGTCCCAGCTACTTGGGCGGCTGAGGCAGGAGAATCGCTTGAACCTGGGAAGGGGAGGGTGCAGTGAGCCGAGATCACGCCACTGCACTCCAGCCTGGACAACAGAGCGAGACTCCAAAAAGACAGACAAAAAGATAGAAAGAAAGGAAGGAAGGAAGGGAGGGAGGGAGGAAGGGAGGGAGGGACTGCTTGAGAGTAGAGGCTGGGAGAAGGGTCAGGATCAAAAAACTACCTATCTAGTACTATGTTCATTATGTGGGTGACAAAATAATCTGTACACTAAACCTCTGTGACATGCAATTTACCCAGTAACCAACCTGCATATGTACTCCCTGAACCTAACACACAAATTGGACAGAAAGAAGAAAAAAAAGACCAGGCACCATGTCTCACGCCTGTAATCCCAGCACTTTGGGAGGCCAAGGCGGGCAGATCACTTGAGGTCAGGAGTTCGAGACCAACCTGGACAATGTGGTGAAACCTCATTTCAACTTAAAAAAATACAAAAATTAGATGGGCGCTGTAGCACACACCTGTAGTCCCAGCTACTCAGGTGGTTGAGGCACGAGAACCACCTGAACCCAGGAGGCAGAAGTTTCAGTGAGCCAAGATAGCGCCATTTAACTCCAGCCTGGGTGACAAAGTGATGCTCTGTCTCAAAAAAAAAAAAAAAAAGAAAATGGAAAAGACTGAAAAGTTGAAGTGGGGGGAAATTAATCAGTTAGAAACAAGGCTATACCCCAAGAAGGAGCTGAAATTTGAAGTTTAGAAAATAAGGCAAACTACATATATGTGTAATATATATAAAGAAAAAACAAGAAGCAAACATCTAATTAGAGCAACAATCTTCATTCCAGAAAGGTAGCAGAAATAAGCACTTAGCAAATTTAAAGTATTCTGACTAGCAGAATGACAATGACAAAAAAAAAAAACAATATTTATAAAATTGAGCAGTGGCCTTCAAACATTTTTGTCAGGGGGAAAAAATTCAAGTGGTACTAGTGCATTAATACTGCTTTGTTTATAAATTTCATATGATTGCCTCTATATAATTTTTAGAAACATTAGGAAATATAAGAACAAAAATTTAAAGAAAATATTTTAATAATTTAAAATATTTTATTTATCAACCATATAAAAAGCTTTATATGAGGCTGGGCACAGTGACTCATGCCTGTAATCCCAGCACTTTGGGAGGCCAAGGCGGGTGGATCACGACGTCAGGAGATCGAGACCATCCTGGCTAACACAGTGAAACCCCGTCTCTACTAAAAATACCAAAATTAGCCAGGCGTGGTGGTGGGCACCTGTAGTCCCAGCTACTCAGGAGGCTGAGGCGGGAGAATGGCATGAACCCGGGAGGCGGAGCTTGCAGTGAGCCGAGATTGCGCCACTGCACTCCAGCCTGAGCGACAGAGTGAGACTCCATCTCAAAAAAAAAAAAAGCTTTATATGTAATGTTAATATTCTATGAGAGTAATATGATTGAATAATTTTAGTTATTTTTTCAAATCTTGGCTTAGCATGTGATTTGAAGGTCATATTTTGATATTTGATTTTAATGACTGTCATAAGTAAAAGACGTGCCTCACAAACATAAGTAGGTCCAAATGAGGATCTTGGTACATTGGTACGTATCTTTTAAACCTATCCACCATATTAAGCAAAAGGTGTATTGAAATTTGGCTGTTAAGTATCAGTCTTCACTAATGTTGATTGGCTATTATTAAAAATTAATCAGAAGTTGTTGTACTTTATACTTTTAACAAATGTCTTTAAAACTCACTGAAATTTTTTATTTGACAAATTGGGGGCAGAATAGAAAATTCTTTTTCCATATTTTTAAAGAATGCAGGTACGAGGTCTATATTTAATAAATATCATTTTCAGCTGAAAGGAAGGACGAGAAGGAAGGAAGGAGGGAGGAAGGAAGGCAGGGAGGGAAGAAGGGAAGTAGGGAGAGAGGAAGGGAGGGAGGGAAGGACACTGCAAGATTTAGAAATAATCTCAAAGACCTGTTTTCAACATGCTCTCACTGCAACATAACTTTCTTTTGAAAATCAATTATTCTTTCACTCATTATTAAAATGTCATCTGTATTGAGAAGAGACAAATTAAGTTGTTCTTAATTTTCAAGATGATTTTCTACATAGCTTATATCTACTGATAGCTACTCATCAGAACAGGTCAGAAATTTTGGAATTGCTGTCAAATCTGCATCTTCAGATCTGACAAATCTCCTGAGAGCTTTGCCTTGAATAAACCTCTACTTGAAATACATGTTTCCTCTCTACTTCCCATTTCATAAAACGTGAAAAGATTCTACATAGAAGTCAGTTATATGCTATGCTACATATGTATATGTATGTATATATGCATATGTGTGTGTATATACACACACACACTTATTTAGCCACACCACGACCTCCTTGTAGCACATGAGCTACATGTGACAAGTCATTGGCAGATGTGACAAGTCATTGGCAGTGAACATGAGTGAGCATGTCGTTATCTGTCAGTCTCTCAAATTGTCAAATGCCCTCTCTCCTCACAGGGCCGTATATAGGAATGATCACCTGACAAACAGATCAAGTGAAACTACCAGTGTTAATCTACATATTTTCAATTAATCAGCCAAGCACAGTGGCTCATGCTTGCAATCCCAACACTTTGGGAGGCCAAGGCAGGTGGCTCACTTGAGCCCAGGAGTTCAAATCCAACCTGATCAACATGGTGAGACACTCTCTCTACAAAAAATACAAAAATTACCTGGGCATGGTGGCACACACCTGTAGTCCCAGCCACTCAGGAGGCTGAGGTGAGAGGATTGCTTGAGCCCAGGAGGTCAAGGCTGCAGTGAGTCACAAACACACCACTACACTCCAGCCTGGGCAACACAGCAAGACCCTGTCTCAAAAATAAATAAATAAATAAGAAAAAGAAAAAAAAGATTTAATTAAATCAATCAAGTTCAATTTGTTTCATAATTTTAGTTTAGAATACATTGAAATCAAAATTCCAGCTCTCCTGGAAACTCCTGCAGAGGGCCCAGGATCCAGCAAAGAACATAAATGTCTGCTCTGGGAGCCTGTGTTCAATCCCACCTGGACCATTTACTGCTGTGCAGCCCTGAGTAAGTCCTCTAAGCACTCCATGCCTTGGTTTGCCCATCTACAAAGAGAGATAATAAAAATTATGATCCTATGCCGGAGGTTGGTGTGACAATCAAATGAACAAATCCATGTAAAGCTCTTAGATTTTTTTTTTTTCCTGAAACAAAGTCTCTCCCTGTCATCCAGGCTCTGGAGTGCAGTGGCGTGATCTCGGCTCACTGCAACGTCTGCCTCCTGGGTTCAAGCAATTCTTCTTCCTCATCCTTCTGAGTAGATGGGATTACAAGCGCATGCCACCACGCCCGGCTAATTTTTATATTTTTTAGTAGAGACGGGGTTTCACCATGTTGGCCAGGCTGGTCTCAAACTCCTGACCTTGTGATCTGCCCACCTCGGCCTCCCAAAGTGCTGGGATTACAGGCGTGAGCCACGGCTCCCTGCCAGCTCTTAGATTTTTTAGTTTACAGTGGAGATTCAAAAAACATTAGCTGTTATGATTATCACATGAAATAATTTTGTCCTTCTACAAACTGGAAGTACCTGGTGGCTAAGAAACCAGTTAGAGGACTGTTTCTCTTATCCAAACAAAAGAGGATTGTGGCCAAAACCAAGGAAGTGGCAGCGGGGTTGGACAGAAGGAGAAGGATCTGAGAAACATTTGAGATATTGAGTCAGTAGACTTTTAAACTGTTATAATATCAAGAGAAGGAAAAAAGCAGTCAAGTGTGACTTCGAAGTTTCTAGTGCATGTGATTAAGGAGTATTAGCTGAGAAAAGGAAATAAGGAAAGGTCTAAATCTGGTGGAAAAGAAAAACTTATTGAATGCTTACTATGTGCCAGGAAATATTCTAATCGTTTTCCATCCATGAAGTCATTTAATCGGCGTAACAACCTTGTGAGATAGATGCTATCCCCGTTTTATAGATGACAAAACTAAGCCATAAAAGGTCTGTAACTTTTCCAAGGCTATACAGCTGGGCTTCTAACCCAAGGTATCCAACCCAGAGTCCATGACCTCCACTGCCCCACACGTAGACTTTCTTAGAGATAATGAGTTCAGTTTAGTTTGAGGGACATGGAAGAGGCTATGTGGAGGAGTGGGTTGAATGTAACAGTCTGAAACTCGTAAGAGACGTGGAGATAGCAACCAAGCTTGAGATGCCAGATTCACCAGCATAGAGGTGGGATTGCAGCCACAGAAGGGCACATGGGAAGGAAGAGAGATCGTGTGCACGGGAAGAGGCCTGGGAGATATCCCTGGGGACATGGATGCTCCCGACCTGCCCACAAGGGTGTCAGTGTTAGCTGCTTTTCATTGTGGATGTTTGCCTATCATAATAGCTTTATGCAAGGGGGTCTTGGGCTGCTCCGCATCTGAACCCCTTTGCCATATTGGGGAATCTGCCTCGGTCTTGGTGGGACACACACCTTCCACTACAGTAGTCAGAGAGCCAGACATTTGCTGTTCCTCAGCCCTGGAGGCCAAGCCTGAACAAACAACATGTGTCTGGCCAATCTAACAGGACACTGAGTCCTCAGCAAGTGACACAGAAGCAAAGAATGGTGCCACATGCGTTCCACCTACAGCAATGCCTGCACTGTCTTGGGGTGGCAGGGGGGCCCCCTAACCTGAGGCACAACCTTGGCTCCGAATTCCCTTGGCTTCCCCTCTTTTTCTTGCAGTTGTTCTCTAGTCTTTCTATCTGTTCTGTGAACTTCTTGGCTTAGTCCCCTAAATGTCTTTCTCTAGAGCAGTTTCTCTTGTTTAACTTGCTCTCTCACTGGTCCAGTACCAATGCTTAGATAATTGGTACTGGATAATTCCTTAGATAATTCTGTTTTCCTTGCGCTCCTTTCTCTCCATTGTAATAGATTGTGGAAGTGGTTCTATATTTTCACCTAAAAACGTTCCTAAGAAACAGTCACCTCTGAGATTTAATTGTAGGACAAAATACATCCATGAAGAATGATTACCCTTAATCAGAACAGTTATCCAAATGTACAAATGGAATAAGTATGAGTTCTTCCACCACACGTGGAGTGTAACAAATGTCTTACCAAATGTACAAATGGAATAAGTATGAGTTCTTCCACCACACCTGGAGTGTAACAAATGTCTTATTGCACTTTCTTAATTAAATTCAATCCCAGCACCACTTGCCAAGGTTGGTTACAATGGCTAATATCAGGCCGGGCGTGGTGGCTCACGCCTGTAATCCCAGCACTTTGGGAGGCCAAGGTGGGTGGATCGCTTGAGGTCAGGAGTTCGAGACGAACCTAACCAACATGGTGAAACCTCATCTCTACTAAAAATACAAAAATTAGCCAGGCATGGTGGCGGGCACCTGTAGTCCCGCTACTCAGGAGGCTGAGGCAGGAGAATCGCTTGAATCCAGGAGGCAGAGTTTGCAGTGAGCCGTGATCGTCCCACTGCACTCCAGCCTGGGTGACAGAGTGAGACCCTGTCTCAAAAAAAAAAAAAAAAGGCAATATTCATGATCTACCATCCTGGAACATGTAGGACTCCCAGGGCTTACTCACATCAGAGAAATGGGGAAGGGTTCTGAATGGCCTTCAGCTCTGAATGGTCACTATTTCTTTGCTGCCCATAGCCACTGCCAAGAGCAAGTTCTCCCTTCTGGCGTGCCCTGCCACCCTGGCAGCCCCTCACAACTGTCCTCCCATCAACCACAGTTTCAGCCATGTAGCCTTGCCAGCGTCCCCAAGGCCGCAGGACCCAGTGGCCAACCTCACTGTCCTATCCACGCCAGGTCCTTGGAAGTGCTGGCCAAGGGGTGCCCTCATCCAGCAACCTGTGGGTCCTGGAGGTCCTCGTGCACAGATGGCATCTCCAGCCTCCTGACCCTCAGGATGGCCTTCCACACACACAGCCAACACCTGTGTGAGGAATCCAGCTTCTTGCCCCTTCAGGTCCCAAGATAGCAGAGAACACAAGAACCCCTCAAAAGAAAGCCCCTAGCTTTTCCTTATGGAGAAAGTGGAAATTACCTCTTTCTTGTGCCAACGTGCCTCCTAGGGAAGCAGATGAACAAATATACAATAAAAATCTCAGTTCCAGAGCCAATGTATTTCAGAACAGCCCTAAAAACGCAATTTATTTTTAATAAGAATTACTTTTGAAGCAAAAGTTATGTTGATAGATGTTCTGTCTGCAAGTAAAAGAAGTCATCCTAGTGTAAGCCAAAACTGGGCACTTTTTTTGGTCAATGCAGAAATAGAGCCAGACCTCTGAAAAGATTGGAACCCCAACCTGGAAGGCTGCCAAAACCTCCGCGTACTTTTGCCTTGCCTATGCTTTGCTCTGCACACCTGCTTTATTTTGCTCTCTGCAGACCACTTGAGCTCCCCAGAGTATTGCGGAAGAACGTGCTCATAGCTCCAACGCACATACTCCCACTCCCCACCTCCACCTCCCTCCGGAAAGATTCATTCTGTCCATTTCTCTTTCCCCTTTTCTTTTCTTTCTTCTCTCTCTCTCTCTCTCTCACACACACACACACATTTCTCTCTCTTCTCTCTTTTTGCCTCCTCTCTCTCCTATCACTTTCTCTCTCTCGCCCATCTCTTTCTTTCTCTCTCTCCCCTCCCCGCCCCCCACCATCCCTGCTAATTTCCAAGTTCCGAGAAGGGACTCTCATTGGTCCAGGTGGACTCAGCTCTCTCTCTCTCTGGCCCAATCAACTGGCAGAAGGACAGGCTCATGTTACCCAAGCATGGCTGTCAGGAGCCCAGCCTCATCACTTGACAGGCTGCTGAGAGGGAGGGCAAAGATAAGGACGGCATCTTGTTTGGATCTCCCTAAAAGCCGACCCTGAAGCAAGAACTCAAGTGCAAGTGGGGCATTTGGGAGGTGCCAGCAATACCAGCTGGGAAATGAGGAGGTGATGCAGGAAGAGGACGAAAGGCAATAAGGGCTTCTTATTAAAGTAGCTGCCCCTGTGCATGACTCTGGGAGGGAACTCTGGGAAATGGTCCAAGCCTCAAAGTGATTCCACCTGAGAGTCAACGGAGCCAGAGTTGACGTCAGCTCCTGAGAGTCCTCGGTGGAGGACGGCTCCTAAGTGGTGATCACCCTATGGCACTTCCCACCTGTGTTGTGTGTGAGAGCAGAGTGGCTCTCCCCACTCTATCTGTATCTATAGTGTAAAGCCAATTATGTACATTTTAAACAAACACATACCGAAGACACTATGTGTTTTATATACATACATATACATAAATACACATGTTATATATACATATTATATATACATACATATATAGAATTCAAGGACTTAAATCAAGCACATTTAAAGTGGTTGCCTGTGAGGAGGAGGGAACTGAAATTTAGGGATCAAATAAGGAAAAAATATAAAATAAAACAAGACAAGGCTTTGCCCAGACCCCAAAGGGCAGGGCGCCATGAGCTGAGGAGTAGACTTCACTCAATTCTCTGCCATCTATCTGAGTTTTTCAATAAATGTTTTTAAAGCCAAAGTTGATTCATTCCTACAGTGGCATTTTGAAGGGACTATTTTTCCTTTGACCTAGATTGCCCAAACCTTCCTGAGTTTCTGTCCCTCCCAAGGCCTGGTTTTCCCCATTTCCTCCAATTCTGGGAGCCCTCCCATATCTTTCCAATAAATACCTTTTTCCCCATAATTTAGCAGAATCGGCTTCTGTTGCTTGCCACCAAATAACCCAATAAGGCCTCAATGCATGGGGCTCTGGAGGACCATCAACAATCTTCTCAGGGAAAAGACTTCCAGGTAGAGAGATCAAGAGGTCATTTATTTCCACATCCAGTGTCTAAGCTGCTCTGTCTCCAGGGCTTGTGGCTACTGTTTGGGAAGGGCAAGGTCATGCTTCAGAGTGGAGTCCCCAGCACCTTGCATGGGGCCTGGCCTACAGTATGAGGTCAATAAATGCCTTTTGAATGGATAACTTCATGAATGAAAGAGCAAGTAAGTGAGTTTACAAAAACTGCTGTTGTTCAGTTGCTTTTTAATAGAATCCTACCTCCACCCGGCCAGATGTATTTATCTTAGTAACCATGGTATAACAGGCAAAGGACAGCAGGTGTTCTGTGAATTATCTTGGTTGGACAAAATCGCTATGGGTTAGCCCCAGAACCAGTGTCATTGGTGGATGTCCTGTGCAAATGTGCTGTGCCTTTGCTATTTTAAAACCCTTCATAATTTTTTTAACAAGGGGTCTCACATTTTTATTTTGCTCTGGACCCTGCAAATTATGTAGCTGGCCCTGGTTAGCGCCAGACTAAATCAAGCAGCATACACCTACAGGAAACCCAAAGAAACTAAAATACCACTGTTGAACTCCAGTACTGCCTGGCATTCACAATGATAACTTTTAGTAGCAAAGGAATTTCTATTCCAAAAACTGTTCTCTTAGGATCATGGCCTTTCCTTCTTATTTCTGCAGAGCAGGGAAGGGCAATTCCACAAAATCCTCTCCTAAAAACAGATAACCAACCATGTAGAAACCAAATATATGGAAATTTCGGGCACAGACAGAATACATAAAGATAATTATAAGTGGTCTTGCTATGCAGTATAGCTTGGAACAGTACTTGGGTTTCTACAGACATTTTCCATTCCATTTTCTGGAAGAGGGGTAATGTTTTGGGAAGAATATGAATTTGGGACTTAAGCAGAGCTCAACATGAATATTCTTTTTTCATTTAGTTGTATAAACTTGGGAGAGCTATTTAAGTTCTTGGAACCTTAAGTTTTATCTTTAAAGTAAGAATAATCATAAGATTGTTAGGAGAAATAAATTGAGATTAGAATAAAAGGGAAGGAAGGAAGGAAAGAAAGAAGGAAGGAAGGAAGGAAGGAAAGAAAGAAGGAAGGAAGGAAGGAAGGAAGGAAGGAAGGAAGGAAGGGAGGGAGGGAGGGAGGGAGAGGGGAGGGAGGGAGGGGAGAGACAGGAGAGGAGGGGAGAAAAAGGAGAGGGTGGGGTAGGAGGGAGAGGGGAGGAGAGGGGAGAAGGAAAGGAAAGGAGAGGGCAGGAAGGAAGAAGGAGGAAGGGAGATGTCAGCACCTGCTATGGTCTCTGAAATGTCCTCAGTGTTCAGCAAATGGGAACTTCCTTCCTTATTCCTTCTTACTCTCATTTCAAAAAATGGCTGGTTTGGGGTGCTCTGGATTTAGCACCGTTTTTCTCTAGTCCCCACAAGCCTTAAATCCATTCTCAGACAAACACTAAAACTAGGAGCACGCAGGACATTCTGAGATTAAATCTCCCTCTCTTGGCCCATATTCGAATCCCACACAGTGTTTAGCAGTTCTCTGACTTATTTAATTACTCTTTGTGCTTCCTGAATTTCTTTTTCTAAAAGTTCTCAATCTATACACATCTCCTAACTCCCCGCCTCAGTCATCCCCATCCTACCAGCCCACAACCCTCCCAATCCATATCTCCACACACCCCTTCCTAATATTTCTCCAGCGCTCCTGGGTAGCAAGAAGAGTCATTCTCATTGCCTGGGGACAAACACCAGCATAGAAAAGCCCAGGTACATTTTGATAAGTGCAGCCTCGGTCTGGTAGCCACTCTCTGGGCACTTAAGTAGGTAGGGGGCAAAAAATGCTGCTCTCAACAGAATCCACATGACTTGGTTTTGAATTCCTACTTGGTGCTGACCTGGATCTTACCACCTTGTCATAACCTTTGCTACAGAGAGGAGTCACACGATTCACCCACCTCCTGCAGGGCTCGGAGGACAATCAGTAAATTGTTATTAGTGAATGGTGCTTTTCTTATTATTTACTAGCCATGCCAGGAAAAACCAGTTATTCTATCACAGACTGCCTCTTACAAGCAATTAAAAAAAGGAGAGAGTCCAGGGAAAGACAGATAAGGAAGAATTTCTAAGCCAGAAAAAAATAAAATAAAATGATTAAATTTGTACCCAGTTTAAGATTTCATTTATCCTCCAGCAAAGTGAAATTCAGCCCCTTCCAAAAGATATGAGAATCCCTGAAACAATGTGGTCTATAAGAAAGAGACAACCATGATTTCTCAGTTAATAAAATTTCAAAGCCTGCTTTCGGTAAGTATGAATCTGACTCTGGAATATTATCTTGGAATCTCCAGATGTTGGTAACAGGTGAACTCAAGAAACCTGCATCTGAATGGGGATATGGCTTTATCTGGAAATAGATGCTGTTATTATGAGTAAGGTGTACAGTTTATCTTTATAGAGATAGTTCACATACCACGCAGCTTCTTTATTTCCCCAGCTAAATTCCAGCAGCCATTTGTCATTTTTGCTAAGGATGCCTTCAACCAGAAAAGTTAGGCTGGGTCTAAAAGAAATCAAACACCATAATTTGTTTGTTTGTTTGTTTGTTTAACATCCTAATCTCTCTTTTCTGTCCCTGGTGGTTTTACTTTGTGGGCATCAGTGAGTGTGGGAGAAACCTGAGTGTGCATACCAAGGCAGTCAGGTGGTATCTTGTACGGCAGAGATGCAGTATTGAGGTTGGAAAATGGAGTATGGGGCTCAGGAAAGGCAAGCGTGCTAGTAATTCATATTTGCTTTGCACTTTACAATTGACAAAATGCGTAAGTGATTTCAGTCTAATCGATTCTTTATTCTACAGTTTTCATCCTTTTTTGACCTTTAGACATAATGATCCAGTGTGTCACACGCAGAGACATTCAAACATAGAGCATCAAAAATAAACTCTCACACAATGACACTTACCTTTACTCTATGTGAAACACTGTGTTATTTTCTATTTTATTCCATTTGATTTGTTAAAGATGCTGGCCACACCCTTCTAAATTGATTTTGCAACCTGCTAATAGAATGCAACTCTCAGCTTTCTTTCTTTTTTCTTTTCCTTTTTCTTTTTTCTTTTGTTTTTTTTTTTTGTTTTTGTTTTTGTTTTTGTTTTTGTTTTTGAGACAGAATCTCTCTCTGTTGCCCAGGCTGGAGTGCAGTGGCGCCATCTCGGCTCACTGCAACCTGGCCTCCCAGGTTCAAGCGATTCTCCTGCCTCAGCCTCCCTAGTAGCTGGGATTAAAGACTCTTGCCACCACACTCGGCTGATTTTTGTATTTTTAGTAGAGAGGGGGTTTCACTGGTCAGGCAGGTCTTGAACTCCTGACCTCAGGCAATCCCCCCTCCTCGGGCTCCCAAAGTGCTGGACTTACAGGCACGAGCCTCCACGCCCAGCTGCAACCCTCGGCCTTTTAGTCAGTGGGCTGAACACTGTGGGCTGTTACCCTCATCTCCACCTGCTTCTAAGCTCTTTCTTGACTCCTCGGGGCTAGAAGCAACCATCTTACCAGCAAGGATCCACTATCATTTGTGCCAGTACAATGCCCTTGTGTGAGATTTGGAAGGCAGAAGTCAAATGAAGTCTTCCTTCCTCCAGCAGGAGCAGTAGCCAATGACAGGCCACTCAGGTAAACGTGAGCCTTTTCTGGGGCCAGGAGTCTGGGCCTTGCCCTGCCAGCCACTCGCCCCAGGATGCTGTTTCTTGATCTCTGGGTGGAAGTAGCAATTTCCTGATGCTCACAGCTTTGCAGCTACACAGGCGAACTGGAAAGCAGTGGTACTTCTCTCGCCTTCTGTTCTCCCAATCTCTCCTGTGGTTTTTAAGTACCTAACTCCCAGTATTAAGTGCCCATTTGCTTTAAATATTGGTTTCTGTTTTCTGACTGAGGCCTGGTTGAAACAGATAGATGCTAGAAATCTTTATTTTATTTTTGCAGAAACCAAGACTCAAAGTGGTCAACAGTAGTGGGAAATCTACAACTCAATCCAAGCTTCCTGATTACAAATTTACTTTTTTTAAAAAAAACTATACCATAGCTGTATGTACATTAAATAGTTGCTCGGTATTTTGTTTCTACAAAGTTATACTTGTATACCTGCATTATGATAAAACTCCTCAAAGTGTTCGCAATTCTTTTTTTCTCCTCTTTGTCAAATTAAATTCTATTCTTATGTGCCTTCATGAACATACTGGCTGGAGTGCAGTGGCGCAGTCTTGGCTCACTGCAACCTCCACCTCCTGGGTTCGTGCAATTCTCCTACCTCAGCTTCCCAAGTAGCTGGGATTACAGGCATGCACCACCACACCCAGCTTATTTTTGTATTTTTAGTAGAGATGGGGTTTCACCGTCTTGGCCAGGCTGATCTCAAACTCCTGACCTCAAGGGATCAACCCGCTTTGGCCTCCCAAAGTGTTGGGATTACAGGAGTGAGCCACCGCACCTGACACAAATTCTTTAGGTAAGAAGACATTTTCTGCGAGGCAGTTTGGGTAAAGGAGAATTTTATTCAAGGGATAAAATGTAAGAGCCCTCTTCCTAAAATGAAAACAGGACCCAGTCAATGAGGAAATGGAAGTCCACACAATTCTGCCAACAAAGAGGGAGAATGATCCTTATTGGATTCCAACAATTTATACTAACTGTTTTTCCTCATTTTCCCTTCACTTGATTTCCTCAACTGTTTGTCATTTTTCTAATGATGCATAGTTTTACAAGGCAGTCTCAAGTCCTTTGTGAAATGAGACAGGGTTTAACAAAGTGTTTCCATAGACACCCACTCTGCACACATACTGAGGTCTAGAAAATGTTCCCTGCCACCTGAGGTTGAGATCTGACCTGACACCTAACTCTACGGTCAATGCCAGGCCAACAGCATCAGCCTCACCCAGGATTTTGTCAGAAACACACGCTCTCAGGCCCCTCCCCAGACCTGTGTTGGAAACTTTGGGGACTCTGTTGCATGCTTAAGTTGGAGAACCATCACTGTAGACATTTGACTCAAATCAGAAACACTTCCCCTCCTACTTCCCCATTCACGGCCTCTATACCCACCATCCTAAAGCTGTATAAAAGCAAGGGAAACATCAGAATTAGACAGGACTGTGTTCAGCTCCACCTTCTAGCATTCAGGGTGACCTTGTGCAATACTGAGTCTGGCTTCTGAGGCTGGGCTTCCCAATCTGTACAACAGAAACCTCATGCTACCTAGTGAGGCTGCTGTAAGAATTAGCAGTAGTTCTCAATCAACGGCAGCAGCGATCCCTTCTGTGTCGTAACACCCTTGCCTCTCTGCAGTAATATGAAGGCACATATTGCTTTTCAATTACACAGCCTGCATCTTTCCCTCCATGGGAATTGCAATCCATTTCAGCTGATAGATGAGTCAAGAAAAAAATGGCAATAAACATGAAGATACAGAAGGAGCATAGTGAAGAAAGCAAGCAAAAGAGAAAAAGAAGGGATGAGAAGAAAGCAAAACATAGGTGAGAAAAAAAAGGAACAGGAGAAGTTTAGGAAGAATGAAGAAGGAAAAAAGTGACCAGGAAGCAGGTGGGGAAAAAGAGAAAAGAAAAAGTGGGGAAAGAGAAAAAATGATGAGAAGAGAGAAAGCATCAGTGGAAGGGAGGGAAATGAATGAGTCCAAGTTCTGCTGGGAGCCGAGCTTTCTGTCCCTCCTAGCATGAGACTCTACCTAATTACCCTGCCCCTCCAAGCCGCTTCTCAGGCTGGAAAGTGGTCTTCTGTCTGGAAAAAGCCATAAGCATCTTATGTACATATGTTCCACCTAATCCCTGGCAGTGCAGCCTGGGTGCCTGCAGATGGGGTCATGGGTTTGTGCCAGCTGCCACGTGGTGTGGGCAGCTCAGGCAACTCCAGTCCTGGATACCCACAAGCCAGAAGCTCAAGTGGCACCCTTCATCTCCCCAGACCCTGGCCAGGAGCAGGAAGGACTTCTTCCTTTCCCAATTTAAGGGCTGGAAACCAAAGAGAGTCCAGATTCTATTTCCAGTCTCCTCACATTGCTTCCTCCCTAAGCTTTTCCTCCCAAAGCCAGCTTGGTCTGGATGGGCAAGCATCCAGTTCTTTCAAATGAAAAGATGAGAATGAGAGAAAGAAAGGGGGAGAGAACAGAGGCACAGGGAGGAAAGGAAGGAAGAATGGAGAAGAGGAAGAAGGGAGAAGAGGAGAGGAGAGGAGAGGAGGCGAGGGGAGAAGAAGGGAACCAGAAGGGGAACCTGTCCTTGCTCACTCTCTTTCACTTAAAATGTAACTCTACCTGGAGACAAAGAATTTGCCCAAAAGAGCATCGCCCCCGACACGGATTTTTTTTTCACAAGTTTCGGTTTTCCTCTTTCTTTTCTTTCTTTTTTAAAAGCAGGAATGAATTCAATCCTAGAGTCTCATGAGAGGAGATCACTCAGCCTGCTAGAAGGACCATCCTGTCTGGAATCACAGGAATTAAGAGAAACCACAACTTTTCTCAACTCTCAGCGCAACATAAAACATGTCAGCACTTGGGAAAAGGCAGGTGAGTGACAAAGAAAAGCCCTTGCAATGAACTCATTCCTTCCTGGTTGTCTGTCCGGGTCTGCTTGCTATCCACTCGCCAATCTAGAGACCTCTCTCTCCACACCCTCCTCTCCAGAACCCACCCCACATCCTGACCGCTCTGCAAAATGATAGGTGTGATTAACCTGCCACACACTTGAACTTAGAGAGAAAGTGTGTTAAGGAAACAGGAAAGGGAGGGGAAATAATGTGAATATCAAATGTATGGTATATACCAAGTAGGTTAGCAGGGCAAGCCTTAAGTGAAGGGTGAGAAAGCAGCATTCGGCCGCACAGGTGCACTTGGGGAGTTGAGAGTTAAGCTTCATTCACTCACATTTCATTCTGCAGCGACAAAGGCTGCGAAGAACCACCTTGAGCTTAAAAAATGCCCAAGCATGATGGGACAGAATAGGATGGGTTACCAGGGAATCTTAAGATGGGGTCGGCGATGCTCCACAGAGCAGTTGGTCTTGCACCTAAGAACACCTTATGTGTAATTCGCCAAGGTTAAGCAGGGCCCCTCTCAGAATTTCACCTTGGCCCCTCCTTCATGGCCATGGTTTTAGGGCAGCACCTCCAATGAGAATGGAAAAGGGCACACCTTTTGCTTTTCCCCAGACACAGAATTCAACCACTAGTGCAATGCGTGGAGAACACAGACTTTCCAGGCTTCCTGTTTAAATCTCTCCAAGGAAAGGTATTTACAACACACCAGGCTGGGATGAGTCATTCAAAATACTCAAGAATTTTCAGCTCCATTTTAAAGGCAAACAAGCCGGATCTCTTCAAAAACTGCCTTTGGGAAGGGCCGAAGAGTAGTCAGGAGATTCTATCCTGACTTCATCTGGCCATCTATGTAACGAATGATTGCTCTGGTATCTCTTTACTCAGGGCCAGCTCTGCCACACACCCCACCCTCCACCTCTCCATCCAGCTAATCCTCACCATGGCGCCCTCCAGAGCATTCCCAGGCCAGCTTCTGACACCTCTACTACCTCTGACTGAGGGGAGCAGTAATTTTTTAAAAAAGAAAAGAAATCCCCACTTTTTTTTCTCCTTCCTTAGGGCAGAAAATCCAGAATTATTAAATAATGATAACCTAAAGCTGTACAACATAAATTACTGACAGTTTCCCCTTGGAAGACTGAAAATAAAATTACCTTAAGCCAGCATAATTCCTTAGCACACAAAGGCAAGCTCTAAAATAGCAAACATGGACTGAAGCTTTGCACATTTCCAGGTAACTTTCTGTACACAAATATGGAGCAGCCCATTCCTTACTAGTAAATATCCACTTCCAGATGGAAGCTTGGGTGAGCCTTGTCAGGAAATTCTCTGTTTCTTGGAAGCAAAGAAGTCCATTATGGAAGATTGGAGGTCTATTTTTTTTTTTATTTTCTTCAGAGACAGGATCTCGCTATGTTGCCCAGGCTGGTTGCAAACTCCTAGGCTCAAGAGATCCTCCTGCCTTGGCCTCCCAAAGTGCTGGGGTTACAAGCATGAGCCATCATGCCCAGCCAAGGCTGCAGGTCTAAAGAGAGGTCCCCAGAAGTTATCTTTGAGGTCACTCATGTTCCAGGAACTCCATCTTTGTGTATGGCTTCTGGAAGCCACAGAAGGACTGTCTGCCCAAAGGACTTGGGAAGGGCCCCAGACTCCAGTGCCCCGGTACTAACAACGTCTTTCTGGTGTGCATTCACACAAAAGCGCATAACTACTTTTCTCTTGAACAAAACCAGGGATAACAAATCGTGATTGTAATTTTACAGGTGTCTTTTTAAGAAATAATATACTTTATGTTTCAGAACAGTCTTAGATCTACAGAAAAATTCACAAAATA
The DNA here is from genome assembly GCF_000001405.40 of Homo sapiens. NCBI lineage: Eukaryota > Metazoa > Chordata > Mammalia > Primates > Hominidae > Homo > Homo sapiens. The sequence goes on from NC_000006.12 coordinate 6,844,350, forward strand.
GTACATAGAGTTCCCATGTACCCTGATACCCATTTTCTTCTATTATTAACATCTCACATTATGATGTTGCACTTGTTAACAATTAATGAACCAGTATTGATAATGAAGTCCATACTTTTTTCAGATTTCCTAAATTTGTACCTTAGCTTTCTGTTACATTTTGTTTTTCCTTTCTGGGCACTGCATTACATTTAGAGATCATATCTCCTTCAGCTCCTCTTGTCTGTGATAGTTTCTCAGACTCTCCTTGTGCCTTGTGTTTGATGACTTTGGCAGTTTTGAGGAATACTGCTCAGGAATTTTGTAGAGCATTCTTTGACTGGGTTTGTCTAATGCTTTTCTTATGATTAGACTAGGTTATGGGCTTTTGGGAGAAAGAGCATAAAAGTGAAGCACCGTTCTGCTCATATCATGCCAAGCTTACACGCCATCAACGTGACCTATGACTATTTGTGCTGACCTTGATCACCTCGCTGAGGTACTGCTGGTCAGATTTCTCCACTGTGAAGTTACTCTTTTTCCCCTTTCTCCATAAGGAAGTCACTATGTGCAGTGAACACTTAAGGAGTGAAGAGCTATGCCCCACCTGCTTGAGGGTGAAGTTATCTACATAAATTCATATCTGGAATTCTTGTATATGAGAGATTTGTTGACCTGTCCCATTTATTTAATTATATCAGTATAGACTCATGGACATTGATTTTATACTTTGCATTATAATTCAATGCTACTTTATTCTATTGCTCAAATAAATTTTGAGCAATAAATTTGCTCTTTGGCCATTGGGAGTTCTTTCCAGTGGCTCTTGTGCCCTTTTGACATATCCCCATCAATTTGGCAGAAGGAAGAGAACACTTCCTTACTTTCTGGCACTACAGTATGCCTCAGGCTCATTTTGTATTTTTTTGCCCCAGTCCTATTTCTCCAAGGAGCTCTGGGTCCTTTTATGTGAGAATGATGCTAGAAACCAAGATCTGGGTGCTAGGTGTACTCCTTGCTACTAGGGTGTCTTTTTATTGTTTGTTTGTTTGGTTGGTTTTTTAGACCCTGTCAGCTGACAGAGAAAAGAAGTATTTGTTTGTATACTACTGTATATACATACATACCACACATACACACACACACACACGTACATACATACATTTATATACATACAAACATGCATACACAGTTTTTTATATATATAATATTTCTATATGTAACCATCTTATATTAAGTTAAACATGAGTTTTTACTGATGTTTCCAACTGTAAGCTGTTACCACATGGACCATTCTAGCTTCTTTCTCTTGATTTTCTGTAAATACCGACTCCAACAGTGTGAAATCTCTCTCCTACCATCCACTATTCATTTATTTCATGTTCATTACAGTATAGCTATAGCAATAATAAGAATTGTTAACCTGTAACACTGTGAGAAAGAACGTTATCAGCTAGAGTACAGTGCTTGTGTGCAGTCATTTTGCCTTTAGTCTTACATAGTCTACTCATTTCCAGTAGTATTTAGGTCAGTACCGTTTCTCCCACCCTCTTCAGTGAGGTTGTTCCATACATTTTTAATACAGTTAGCCTCTCTTATTACAGTCTGCATTTCTTCCTGAGATCCCACAACCTTCTAAATGACCTTTTCTTTTTATACACTGTATATATTAAAATTTTATGGGTTTTGACAAATGCATAATGTCATGTATCTGCCATTATAGTACCATCCAGACTAATGTCACCACCCTAAAAACCCCTGTGCGTCATCTCTTTGTCCCTCCCAACTAACCCCTGCCAACCACTCATCTTTTTACTGTCTCTGTGGTTTCGTCTTCTCTGGATTGTTGTATAGTTGGAATCATTCAGTATGTAGGCTTTTCAGATTTGTTTCTTTTACTTAGTAATATGCATTTAAGGTTCTTCCATGTCTTATTGTATCTGGTTTGTTTTTTAATTGACTCCAGGAAAGAAAAAATAAGCAGCCCAAATCTGTCACTTCACCTAATTTTGTTTCCCAACCCAAGCCAAGCCATTTCCTACACATCTGGATTCAGATATCATACGAGAAAACACGTTCCTCGACACCCATATAAAACTGCAGTCCCCGGCCCTCATTCTTTCCTGGCTTTATTTTTAGCACTTTCTCATACACCTTTACTTTTATTTATTCATATTGTTTAATGTCTGTCTCCATGAGCACAGGGGTTATTGCTATTTTATTTTTTGTTGTTTTTCCAGCTCTTGAAATAGTGTCTGCCATGTAGGGCCCTTGGTAAACATCGAATGAATACATCAAATTGACACCCCCCAAAAATATTTATGTGCACTCGTGTGCTTGACTCCATGGCTGGCATGCCCCTTGGCTTGAGAGGAAATCAAGAAATTAGGATGGGAAGATGGAGTGAGGAGGTGTAAGGAAGTGGTGGCTGCTCTCAGTTCCTTATCCTACCTACATGCTTGCCATGGTGGCTGACATTTCTCTCTTAGAGATTAATTTAGTTGGGGTTCTTTTTCTCTACTAGAATTTTGATTTGTGTTTTTAAACATTTAATAGAATGGTTTTGGCTGGATGCGGTGGCTCATGCCTGTAACTCCAGCACCTTGGAAGGCCAAGGTGGGCAGATCATTTGAGGTCAGGTGTTTGAGACCAGCCTGGCCAACATGGTGAAACCTCACCTCTACTAAAAAATACAGAAAATTTGTGGTGGCTCATGCCTGTAATCCCAGCTACTCGGGAGGCTGGGGCAGGAGAATCGCTTGAACCTGGGAGGCAGAGGTTGCAGTGAGCTGAGATCGTGCCACTGCACTCCAGCCTAAGCGACACAGCAAGACTCCCCCCACCAAAAAAAGGCCAGGCGCAGTGGTTCACGCCTGTAATCCCAGCACACTGGTGGGCCAAGGCGGGTGGATTATCTGAGGTCAAGAGTTCGAGACCAGCCTGGCTGACATGGTGAAACCCCGTCTCTACTAAAAAAAAAAAAAAAAAAAAAAATACAAAAATTAGCCAAGCATGGTGGCAGGCACCTATAATCTCAGCTACTGGGGAGGCTGAGGCACAGAAGAATCACTTGAACCCAGGAGGGGGAGGTTGCAGTGAGCCGAGATCTCACCACTGCACTCCAGCCTGGGAGACAGAGTGAGACTACGTCTCAAAAAATAAAATAAAATAAAATAAAATAAGATAAAATAAAATAAAATGGCTTTAAGTGACTTTTTAAATTTCTGAATGTTTATTGTAATGAGTCAAATAATTTAGAGAAACCCAAAGAGTATTAAAGAAGAATCTTAACTCTCTTCCCCACTCCCCTGAACTGCACTTAGAGCTGGGCAGCTGGGGCCCCTGCCCTGAGCCCTCTGCATTAGAAGGCCAAGCCTTACCTATGGAACAGGAGTCTTCAGGGCCAAGAAGATATGCCCATCTGCAGTCAGTGACTCTCCTGCTAGACCACATTCCAGGTGACCAGGATGCTAGAAGTCCCTGTCCGCCTGGCCTCCAGCCCTCTTCCAAGACCAAAGTGGGCCTCCTCCTGGGCCTGTCCTCCCAATGGCAGACTGGCCCAGGATGAGCACACCCCTAGACCCAAGGAGCGTTTGTATGGAGTGAATGAACTGGGGTAAGCAGCGTGGGGTGCCAACAATTGTGTGCACAAGGTCTCCTCAGGTGCACAAGGGACTAGAGTAAAAAGCAGGGGAGACAAGGCCCGAGTTTCCATTGTTTCCATTTGATTTCTTGCCTTGGGCGCGCCACCTGCCTCACAATGCTGAGACCAGGCCAGGCTCCCCCACTATAATTCCATCCTCCTGAGGTGACAATGGTAATGGTTTTGGTATGTAACCTTCACACCCTTCTATATGGGTTCACAAACATGTAGAAACATAAACACATATGGAAGGGGTTTTCTCTCTTTCTCGATCACTTGTTTATGAAAACGGTATCCTAATACACAATATAACATATATCATGATTCTCTCCACTGTACATGTAGATCCACGGCCTTCTTTTTATAATGTGCCACAGAATGAATGCATGTTTCCTTATGATGGATATTCAGTGTTCTCCTCCCACCCAGCTTCCCACCTTAAACAACACTGAAATAATCTTTATACCTACAGTCTTACGTCCTGGTGCTTTTATTTTCTTAGCCATAACTTGGATTCCTAGAAATAGGATTAGTGGTTCAGTTAAAGAATATAAACATTTATTTTATAGATGCATCCAAACTACTTTGGTAAATACACCAATCTGTACCAGTACTGGCAATGGATAACATGCCCATTTCACCAAACCTCCCCACTCTGGATGCTATAAATTGTTTTAAATTTTGAACATTGGATAGGTAGAAACTGATGTCTGGTTAATTTCACTTCTATTTCCCTGACTGCAGTGAGGTTCACCATCTTTTCATATACTCTAGCCATTCGTATTTCCTCTTCCATAAATTGCCTATTGTTAGCCTTTGAGCATTTTTCTGTTGAGATGTTAGCTTTCTCATATCAAATTGTAAACATTTAATTAATAAACTTCAGTAGTTATAAGATTATCAACTTTTTTCCTGACGTTTATCAAATTTAAGGTATATTCTCATGTAGATAGTTCTCAGTTTTGGGGGTAGTCAAATCTGCAATCTTTTTTCTTTTTAAATGTTTCCTGGGTCTCCTAGCTTATTTAAACAGAATCTCTACCTATCCTCCTAAATGTTATCCTACCCTTTTTATTGTCATGTGCTTCTGTGCTCACTTCATAATAGAGCCCATTCAGAAAACAAAGGAGTCCATAGAAAGAAGAGAGTCCCTGAATTCTGTAATTCTGTGTTCTTAGGTCTTTTCTTCTGTTCTTCCATCATTAAGACTAAAATTTCTTTCTTTTTTCTTTTTTTTTTTTTTTGTTGTTGTTGTTGTTGAGATAGGATCTTGCTATGTCACCCAGACTGGAATGCAATGTTGGGATCTCAGCTCACTGCAACCTCCGCCTCCCAGGTTCAGGTAATTCTTATGCCTCAGCCTCCCAAATAACTGGGATTGCAGGCGTGTGCCACCGTGCCCGGCTAAATTTTGTATTTTTAGTAGAGATGGTGTTTTGTCATGTTGGACAGGCTGGTCTCAAACTCTTGGCTTCATGTGATCTGCCCGCTTTGGCCTCCCAAAATGCTGGAATTACAGGCGTGAGCCACGGCGCCCAGCCATAAGACTAAAATTTATTGTCTCCCAACAATCTCTTCTTAAATTGTAAGCAATCCTGCAAAAGTAACACCTCAAATCCTCATCAGCAAATTAGGCTGAAATTTATGAGAGCTTTCCAAGGCAGACATGTTGGGAAAAATAAAAGGCAAAAAACAGAAAGAAGGGGGAAGAAAACAAAGGTGTGAGGGTTCTCTGCACTCATGTGTTCCTCCACACAGCAGGAATAAACTGAGTGTCTTCTCCACATAAGCGGGGCCTATGGAGAAACAAGACTCAAGGGACAACATGGTCCCTGTCACCCAGGGGTTTAGCCTTAGAGGGGAAATGAACACTACAGTCCAAGGTAGACTATACAAGGTATGGCCAAGGGCAGAGAAGATCACTTCTGGCTGGGTGATCAGGGAAGACTTCAAAGAAGTGAGCATGCGGCTGTGTGGAAGGATCGTTTGAGCCCAAGAGTTAGAGGCCACTGTGTGCTATGATCTTGCCACTGCACTCCACCCTGAGCAACATAGTGAGACTTGTCTCAAAAAAAAAAGAGGGAGTGAATATTTACTTATTTATTTATTTTTGAGACAGGGTCTCGCTCTGTCACCAGGCTGGAGTGCAGTGGCTCAATCTCGGCTCACTGCAACCTCCGCCTCCTGGGTTTAAGCAACTCTCCTGCCTCAGCCTCCCCAGTAGCTGGGATTACAGGTGCGTGACATCACACCCAGCTAATTTTTGTATTTTTAGTAAACATGGGGTTTCACCATGTTGGCCAGGCTAGGGAGTGAATTTTAGATGAGGTTTCAAGAATAGCTAAGATTTCAACAGGCAGAAGAGGAGGACTTTCAGAAGAAAATAGCATGAACAAGGACACAAAAGTGGGAGGGGGTAGAGCATTCTGGGGTAAGCAGCTTATCCAGACAAACAAGAGGTGCACATAGAGGAGCCATGAGAGATCTGCCGGAAAAGTCCGTGAGTCCAGACCTCAGGAGGCAGAGCAATGGGGAACATAGTGGCCTGCTTGGCCCCTGTGCTGGAGCTGGCCCTGAAAACAGCGGGGGTACATCCCGGGATCCCCACTTCCATCCGATCTTCAGAATCACCTGAAGCATGTTAAAAATACAGATTAATGGCCGGGCGCAGTGGCTCAGGCCTGTAATCCCAGCACTTTGGGAGGCCGAGGCAGGCGGATCACGAGGACGAGAGATCGAGACCATCCTGGCCAACATGCTGAAACCCTGTCTCCACTAAAAATACAAATATTAGTTGGGTGTGGTGGCAGGTGCCTGTAGTCCCAGCTACTTGGGAGGCTGAGGCAGGAGAATCGCTTGAACCTTTGGAGGCGGAGCTTGCAGTGAGTGGAGATCGCACCATTGCACTCCAGCCTGGTGACAGAGCGAGATTCCATCTCAAAAAAAAAAAACAAAAAAAACCCAGATTCATTACACTCAGTGTGTCCCGCCTCAAACCAACTAAATCTAAATGCCTCAGTAATTTTGATGATATGCCAGCTAGGAACTTCTACTTCTGGCTAAATCTGCCCCCAAGGAAGTGTGATCATATTTGTAGGATTCCTTAGAAATTATGTGTTCCTCCACTTCCTCTAGTCTGGCTTCCCCATGAAAACGCAGCCGCGTTGGTAGCAAAGACCAGCTGCTTTGGCTGTCCAGCTTCATTATCTTGGCTTTTTCCCTGGTAACTGTCCCAGATTCTCCGTAGGTGTTTACTTTGTGTGAGTCAGCTGGCTCTAGTGTAAAGCATGTGACCTGGGTCTAAGCCAATCAGCATCTCATAAGCCTCCTGCCATGACTGGTTCAGGGATAGGCCCTTAGTCCAATCAGAGACCATGAAATGCAATGAGGCTTTGCCTAGAAATGCTGAGCTAAAGATCTTCACTTTCTATGCAGGTTTTGAAGCCAGGAGCCCCTCTTCTTGAGATCTATTGGCAACCATCTTGTGAAGGAAGAGCCCATTGTGTAGGAGGCAGATGCTGGAGAAAAAGAGACAACAGGGCCGGGTTTTATCATTTGAGACTTGAGTAAAGTCATACCGGAAGTCACACCCAGTCTACCCTGGGAAGCTTGGTTACAAGGGCCAGTAAATTCCCTTTTCTTTTCTTTTCTTTTCTTTTTTTTCTTTTTTTTTTTTAAGAGATGGGGGTCTTACTCTGTTTCCCAGGTTACTCTCGAACTCCTGGCCTGAAGCCCCCTGTCTCTGCCTCCCAAAGTTCTGGGATTACAGGCTTGAGCTACTGTGCCTGACTAAATTCCCTTTTTGATTAAGCCTGTTTAGATTAGGTTTCTTGTCAACCTGCAACTGAAAGAATTATCGCCAATACAAGGTACAAAGTCCTGAAAGGTAAGCTCTTTGAAGCACAAGAAAAGCAGGAACCCTCAGTCTTCTTTATAAAGGAGATGTCCTCATGAGAGAGACACGGGCCACTGGCAACTTGAATTCATCTGGAATATTCATAAGCTTCTAGAAATGGCAAAGAAAATGGTTTATTTGATTGGCCAAAGAAGGACTCTCCTGATGATGTAATAATTTCATCTCCTTGCTTCCTTGGCTGTATTGCAGATTTGACAAAGTATTAAAATGGCACATTGTAAAAAATCTTTATATTACGTAAGCATAAAGTGTTCTGCAAAAATCAGAAAGAATTGTGCTGGTTTGGTGATTGCTGAGTCATAAAAGTAAAACATAAAAAGTAAGGTTTGCCGTAAACAGCACTATAAAGGATTTAGTGAACCTAACATGAGTATAAATTACCAAAAGTATGGATAGTGCACAGGGAAAAAGTAAGGTTATCGTTGTATTTTAGTAAAAGAGTCAGTAAATTCTTATAAGATACAAGCTGGAATGGCCCATAAAATAACTTCAGGGAAGAAAGTTTAAAAATAATGAGAAAAAAATTAAAATAACGATTGATTGCATTTGGGGGAGAAGAGGGAAGTCTTTAAAAAAAAATGTAACTTGCAGCCCTTTCTTGCTGTTTTTCATTTATGCATCTGTACCAGGCAGCTGATCAGAAGGACCCATTTTATCTGCCACCACGTGTTTTTGGACAGTGTGCTCAGTTTGGGATGTAACTTTGGTAGGTCATGTTCATTTGCCCTTACTTTACCATGAAATTATTAAAGGGACAATTGTCTGATTTCTATCCTAGCTGGTGGAGGGATTGCTTTCTTGTTTTACCCACATTGTATATATATTTTATTTCAGAGTAGATAGATGGGAGGGAGCATTTACAATTCATGTAAGTACTCATTTTAGAGATAAGAAAACAGATCTAAAGAATGATAATCAATGTGTTGCACCTTCTTCAGTATAGTAGTCCCTTAGTATACATGGGGAATTGGTTCCAGGACCCCCACATGTACCCCAAATCTGCAGACACTCAAGTCCCACAGTCAGCCCTGCAGAACCTGAGTACGTGAAAAGTCAACCCTCCTTATACATGAGTTTACCATCCCACCAATACTGTATTTTCCATCCATCTTTGGTTGAAAAAAGTCCACATAAGTAGACCCCTGCAGTTCCAACTCCCGTTGTGCAAGAATCAACTGTAAAATGTTATTGGAGAACAACATGCCCATTTCTTTATGTATTGTCTGTAACTGCTTACATGCTACAAAGGCAGAATTGTAGTAGTTTCAACATAGACTGTATAGCCTGCAAAGCCAAAAATATTTACTGTGTGGCCCATTCAGAAAAAGCTTTTAAATCCCTGCTCTAGAACTCAAGTCTCCCAATTCTATGATGAATTTACTTCATTTCACCCAGTACTTACAGCACCTGCTGTGAGCTGGGCCTTCCAAATGGGTAAGACAGCCCCAGTACCTACACTCCTCCAGGAGTAGCTCCAGCTCCACTGGTATTCTTTCTACTATGCCACTATCCTTCTCAGTTAACAGCGGGAAGTGGAAAACTCGAAGTTCATTTATTTAGCAAATAGTATTAAGCACTGCTATATCCCAGGCACTGTTCCAGGCTTTGGGAATCCATCAGTAAGCCATAAACATATAAATCCCTGTCTTGGCTAGGCACGGTGCCTCATGCCTGTAATCCCAGCACTTTGGGAGGTCGAGGTGGGTGGATCACCTGAGGTAAGGAGTTCGAGACCAGCCTGATCAATATAGTGAAACCCTGTCTCTACTAAAAATACAAAAACTAGCCAGATGTGGTGCGTGGTGCACACCTGTAATCCCAGCTACCTAGGAGGCTGAGGCAGGAGAATTGCTTGAACCTGGGCGGCAGAGGTTGTAGTGAGCTGAGATAGCACCATTGCACTCCAGCCAAGGCAACAAGAGCAAAACTTCGTCTCAAAAAAAAAAAGAAGAAGAAAAAAATAAAATAAATCCCTGTCTTCATGGACTATCCATTCCAGTGAGAAGAGGTGGACATAGACAGTATTTTTAATTTCTATCCCTTAGATAAAGAACTGCCCAAGGTGAAAGCTAATGAGGACAGAGCTGGAATTAGAGCCCAGGGCTAACTGACTAACATAGAGGTGTTTCCAAAAGATGATTTTGCCTCTGTACAGAAGAGCATGTTGTTTTCTTGGATCTTTCTCCTTCAATTCAAAATCTTGATCTGTCAGGAGAGCTGGGCCAACCCATCAGGTTGCAGGCAGGTGTCCATGGTGATGAAGGGATGGAAAAACTCACTCCTGACCTCCCTCTCAGGTTTTGGCCTCTCAGGCACCAAATTCCTAAGCACAGAACTGGGAAGTAAGATCCTCGGCGGCCCTTCCTACGGGACAGTCCTGCAGGTCCATCAGAGTATTTGATTGTTTAAACGAACATCTGTCTGGGGCAGAAACTGCAAATAGGATAGGAGAAGTTTGTTTGAATTTCCCTTTGGGACCTCAAAGCAGCAGGTGGAGAGAAGGAACTTTTAAAATTTCCATGTCAGCAGTGAGGAAAAGTGGAAGGAAGGAAGAGAAAAACAAAAGGAGGTCTCACAAAAGCATGTCAGAGTCAAAATCAGAAATAGATGTGAGAGTCTCTGGAATCATGTCCTTAGTTCTGGCTTCAAACAGAGACCCTTCCTCTCTCTGCAGACCACTCTCCAGGAAAGTCAGCATAATAGGGTAGGTACATATAAACATTTTACTCCATAAGAATTCTTCTGTCAAAAAGACTTTCATCTTTGCATTTTGATTTTAGGGTTAAGAAGTCTGATGCTTTATTAAACTGGAAAACTCACCTGCCCAAAACCATTGCTTTCTTCAATGGTTCTGCACTACTGAAATCACTCAGTACTTTCTGACAAACAACTTAAAATGAACCCATCCTATACTACTGTCTGACCTTTAAAGAATGTGTAGAAACCTTTTAAAGTAGTATCTGAGCTGGGCGCGGTGGCTCATGCCTGTAATCCCAACACTTTGGAAGGCTGAGGGGGGCTGATCACCTGAGGTCAGGAGTTCGAGACCAGCCTGGCCAACAAGGCGAAACCTGTCTCTACTAAAAATACAAAAAATTAACCAGGCTTGGTAGCACAGACCTGTAATCCCAGCTACTGGGGAGGCTGAGGCACAGGAGAATCACTTGAACCCAGCAAGCGGAGGTTGCAGTGAGCCGCGATCATGCCACTGCACTCCAGCCTGATCAAGAGTGAGACTCTGTCTCAAAAAAAAAAAATAGTATCTGTACTGTAAGAAAATTACCAATGAATGTTTATTACTCCCAGGCTAATATTCAATAGCAACTTTTCCCTAAATCTATTTTCTGACGTCCTGAAGGACTTCTACTAGAGCCAGGAAGTATCATTAGATTTCCATCATTGACACCCTAACAAATCTTAGAGACTAAGGAGTCACATTTGCAGCCTGCTGGCCATCTCAAAAGCCTGTGCCTCTACTGAGGGAGTGGGAGAAAAAAGACCTCAGGACCAGAATTTAGTGAGATATTCTATAAACTCCAAATCCAACCATTTTCCATCCATTCATTCAACATATATTTATTGAGCTCCTCATGAGTGCCAGCCACCATCTAGGCATTGGAGATAGAGTGGTGAACAAGCCAACTAAGTCTCTGCTTCCATGGAACTTGTACGTTCTAGGGAAGGAGAGAAATCAGTAAACAAATGCATGTGTAAGACAATAGTCATCGAAGAGAATTTTAGGCAGGGATAAATACTACTAAGAAAACTAAGGCAGGCCAGTCATGGTGGTTCACACATGTAATCCCAGCACTTTGGCAGATCACTTGGCCCAGAAGTTCAAGACCAGCCTGGGCAACATAGTGAAACTCCGTCTCTACAAAAAAAATACAAAAATTAGCAAGTCTGGCTGGGTGCAGTGGCTCATGCCTGTAATCCTAGCACTTTGGGAGGCTGAGGTGGGTGGATCACCTGAGGTCAGGAGTTCAAGACCAGCCTGGCCAACATGGCAAAACCCCATCTCTACTAAAAATACAAAAATTAGCCGGGCATAGTGGCATGCGCCTGTAATCCCAGCTACTTGGGAGACTGAGGCAGGAGAATCGCTTGAACCCAGGAGGTGGAGGTTGCGGTGAGTGGAGATTGCACCACTACACTCCAGCCTGGGCAACAGAGTGAGACTCAGTCTCAAACAAAAACAAAAGCAAAAACAAAAACAAAAATTAGCCGGGCGTAGTGGCACGTGCCTATAGTCCCAGATACTCGGGAGGCTCAGATGGGAGAATCACTTGAACCCAGGGAGCAACAGAGTGAGACCCTTTCTCAAAAACGCAAACAACAACAACAAAAATTAGCCAGGTTTGGTGGCTTACACCTGTGGTCCCAGCTACCTGGGAGGCTGAGATGGGAGGATCAAGGATCAAGGAGGTTGAGGCTGCAGTGAGCCATGATTGCACTATTGAACTCCAGCCTGGGCAACAGAGCAAGACCTTGTCAAAAAGAAAAGGAAGAACGAAGGAAGAAACTAAGGCAGAATGGGAGATAGTGATGATGGGTGGGTGGGGTTGCATTCCACAGAGCTGTCAGATAATGGGAGGAAGGAGCTAGACATGGAGGGTCTGGGAAAAGCATCCCAGGATGAGGAACCAACAGAGATCCTGTGTCGCAGGACCAGGTTTGGAGGCTGCTGGCACCATGAGGACGTGAGGGCTGTAAGCTGGCAGAGCTCTTAGAGTGAGCATGCTGAGAGCTGTAGGTCATGGGTCGGAGCGTGGGTTCTATTCTACTGTGACAGGAAGTCATGCCGTGAGAGGATTTCCCCGCAGTGAAGTCAGGTGATTCGTGTCCTTAAATGCTGCCCGAGGACTTCTGAGTAGGTGGAGCCTAGGGAGGGAGAGCAGAGGCAAGGGGATCAGTCGAGCCCCGCTGGTGGGATGAGTCTGCCGGGACAAGGGGTGCTAGCTGTGGTCCTCGTCTGCCTTGTTCTCAGCTGTATCCTGGCCCCCAGATGAAGCCTGGCCACAGTGTACTTGGTAAATAGTGGTTGCAGGAATGACTGAAATCCTGGCCTGAGTGAGCTCACAACTTTCCATATGAGGCAAATAAGCAGATCTGTTGGTTATGACCCAGATACGTGGTGACCAGGGCAAACGTTTGTCAGAGGAGTGACGGGTGGGGGCTGGACTGTCTTCCCGGTACAGCTGTGGAGGAAAGCAGGCAGTGCAGCTGGGACATGCAGCCGCTGTCCCCTGGGGCTGGCGGAAGGGTGTGGAGTGACGGAGAGGGAGAGCTGCTGATCAGGGAGCTGGGCATCCCGTTGCAGCCTTACTGGGAAGCTTGCATCCCAGAGCCGACTTGCCTCACCTTTATTCAGGGATTCAGGCCCTTCCCCTCCCCCAAGGGCTTGCTTAATTCCCCTGGCTTCCTTGAGGCATACTCAGAAATTCCTTTCAGTTCCCCTTTCTGCTGGCTGTGCTTGAGGCAGGGATGGGCCAAATACCCTCCACGCCCTTGGTCCATCCAGAAGTACTGAGTCAACAGCCCTTTCCCAGAATCTACCTCCATCTCTTTCCACACCTGCAGCCGGACTGTTCCCAGGAATGAGGTGGGGCAGGACCTGAGAGCAAAGTGTGAGCTGGTGTGCAGAACCACCCGGAGGTGGAAGGAAGCTAGAATCTAGTGTAGGGTGCCTCTGACACTTGTCCCACACATAGATCTCCCAGGGATGACTGTGTGGGTCCGAGGTGGGATGGAAAACTTGCATTTCTTACAGGCTGCTGGGGATGCTGGTGCTGAGGCTTCCGATCACCCTGGAGGCACGGCTCTGTATGAAGGCAGGGTGAGGTTGGCAGAGGAGAGATAAATACAGTCACAATTTACTGAGTGCCAGACACCGGGCTAAGGGCATTATGTGAATAATCTCTTTTAATCCTCACCAGCCCTGTGAGTTGGCACCATTATTATGCCTATTTAACAGATGAGATTTAGAAAGACTGGTGAACTTGCTCAAGGTCACAGAGCTTGCAAGTGAGACTTGAACTCAATTGTCTGACTCCAGCAGTTGAACTATTAAGAGAAATTCCGAGAGGATAAATCTTGATCGTCTGACTATGATGTGTTGTAAGCAACAACTAGAGAAAAGATCAAGAAATGAAAAAAGATGCCCATACAGCCAACAAAGGGAAGGGTGTATATTGTATATGCAGCTATGACTGGACCCAGTAGAATTTCAGGATGCCTCAACTTCTGAACCAATCAAGATTAAAAATAGCTGTGACAAAAGAAAAAAGATAGCATGACACATTATCCTCTTTGCTTCGAATCTATCTAAAAATCTATATTTCAGGATAAAATTCCCTTCAGATTTAAAAATTTCTCTTTTATTTTTGTTGTTCTACCCCACCACATCCCAGGGCGTTTCGTTCAAAATATGTAGTAAGTTATTTCTCTAAATTGTCTTTGTTTTTTATGTATAAAGTATAATAGATAAGCACCTAGTATAAATTATTTCAGATTACTATACTACTGTACAAGGTAAACAGGAGATATGCTGAAATGCAGTTGTGGAGTTACGGCCTGACTTGGTATGAATAGCCTTTAGGTGTTGGACAGGGAAAAAAATGTTGGACAGAATTCTCCTTGCTGGACATCGTGCACATTGAAAATTAAAATACGTCGTGGAATTTAAGTATTTATAATCAGCACAACTCAAGTAAAAGCAACAATCTGGTTTAAATCCTTCACAAAAGGAAACTCAACGTTGGAGCATCTGAAGGGCGTACTAGCCCAACTGTTTTCTTTCCTAGGGAGAAAGTCCCTTGAATGTTACACAGGCTTAAAGCATGACCTTGCATTTTCATCCCTTGGCTTCCTCATTTTTGTAGATTTCAAATCAGACCCGAAAGACCGTCTCACGTGGTTAAATAATGTAGTGTCTGGGTTAATGACTCCAAAATGCAAAATGAGACCGGAGAGAGAACAGACTGTTTCTCCTATAGGCTGCCCTAACTCTCAGCCTCTGGGTCCTCCAGGCGCCCCATAAACATAATCTTGTGCGCTTCTGCTCATCACACCTTGTATGAGTACTCCACGGGTTTATTATACACGCAGGCTCTTGGTGGGGAGACAACAGTGAAACTGATAGATTGTAATTCACGTTCCAGTGAATCCTATGCAGGAGGGGAGGAGTCTGACCACAATAATGAGGCGTTCTTTGTCTTAGTTTTGCTTTTTTAACAAGTTTCCTAAACCTTGGTGAGCTCCATGCTCAAAGGAGTTCAGGGGCATTCTATTCAGGAAATTCTGTTTTTCCTTATAAAATTGGAATTAAAATGCTCTCATCTGCACTTGCTCCCCCAGGCCTTGGAGACTTGGTCCTGGGGACTCCCATGTGTGCAGACCTTGCATTGTCACCCGTGGTGCTTTTTCTCAGCTCCTCCTCTGAGTGGCAGAAGGAACGCTAAAACTCAGATTTCCTGCTTCCACTGCAGGCCTTTCTTCAGATGCTGAATGCCTTTCTACGTTCACTCCGGAATTATTAATATCGGACTGACACCCCCCTGCTTCCATCCTCAATTCCTGTACATATATGCCTGATGTCATCTAATGTTTTCCCTTTGGGGGAAAACAAATTCCAGCTTTCCAACAGAAAGCCCTAGATTTATCAACTCTTCAAGGCTCTCTGTATACAGCATTTTGAATCTAGACAAAATACATAAAGAGTTGATACCTTAGTTTCCAAGAAAATTATGAAAGCAAGCCCTGCTGTTTATGATTATGGGCTCTAAATGTGTAGCCCGGCCCTGTCCAATAGAAATATAATACAAGTCATGCACAGGATTTTAAATTTTCTAGTAGCCATGTTCTAAGAAAAGTAACAGATAAAATTAATATCAACAATATATTTTATTTACCTCAGTGTAACCAAAATAGCATTTGAACATATAGTTAATAGTAAAACAATTGTTAATGGGCAATTTTGCATTCCTTTTCACTCTAAATCCTCAAAATCCAGTGTGTTTGTTACAATGACAGCGTATCTTGATTATGACAAGGCACATTTCAGGTGCTTGAGAGCCCGGCATGGCCAGTGGCTGCAGTGTTGGACAGAACTGGGGTGGCCACTCACGTAATAGCTGGAAAAATCTTCGGTGAGTGCTTTAACTTCTCTACCCCTTCCATGTTTTCCTTCTTAAAGATAGGCCACTGGCTCCGCCTGTCTCTGGATAGCCTACCTATTACACATTCAATAGAAGGAAGGCAAGGAGGGAGGGAGGGAGGGAGGGAAGGAAGGAAGGAAGGGATTAATTTTCTTTTTATGCCTCTTAAGTCATCCCATCTAAAAATATTAAGTATAAAGTCTGTCAACATTAACATGTATTTTTTAACCAGGCAAGGCAGCGTGCACCTGTAGTCCCAGCTACTCAGGAGGCTGTGGCAGGAGGATTGCTTGAGCCCAGGAGTTGGAGGCTGCAGTGAGCTATGCTCACACCACTGCACTCTAGCCTGGGCTAGACAGCGAGACTCTGTCTCTTTAAATAATAATAATAATAACATGTACTTTTTTAACCTGAAATTAAGCTTTTTTTTTTTTTGTAAAGAATTTGAAGAAGGCGAAAGGGGTTTACTTTGGCAGAAGTTTCCATATGACCTTGGTCCTGCGGGATCTCACTGAAAGCTAATGCTGCAAACTTGTCATACTTTGACTTCAAAAAGTCAATGTCAGACCGGGCTCGGTGCCCCACGCCTGTAATCCCAGCACTTTGGGAGGCCGAGGCAGGCAGATCGCCTGAGGTCAGGAATTCGAGACCTGCCTGGACGACATGGTGAAACCCCGTCCCTACTAGAAATACAAAAATTAGCTGGGCATGGTGACGGGTGCCTGTAATCCCAGCTACTCGGGAGGCTAAGACAGGAGAATCGCTTGAATCCGGGTGGCGGAGGTTACAGTGAGCCGAAATTGTATCACTGCACTCCAGCCCGGGCAACAAAGTGAGACTTCATCTCAAAAAGACAAACAAACAAAAAGTAAATGTCACCAAGCACCCACATGCAGCCGAAGCTAAGTTGGTTGTTCAGTAACATTTGAGACAGAGGCCCAAACTCCACAAACTCCACAAGGCGCTGATCCAGCCCCATGCCTTTGAGCAAGAGCAGGAACAGGAAGGGATTCCCCTGCAGACACAGTCCTGGGGCGGCTGCCACTCACACATGCAGCACTGGGTCACTTTGTCTCCTTCATCGCTGCGGCTGCCACTCACACATGCAGCACTGGGTCACTTTATCTCCTTCATCACGGGTGGGCCCAGCCCTGGTCAGCGGGGCCCCCTGCCCCAACGCCACAAGTCTGAGCCCCTATCTACTTTCTGGGGATATTCTCACCTCCCTCCTTCCCAGCCTTGCCTCAACTCTAGCTCCCACCTCCAGGACTATTTCCCCAGCACAAGAGCCCTGCTGTTTAAATCATCAACTGAAGCCTCGTGCACTGCTTCCCTGAGTGGTGTGGGCTAGGGAGTCCTTCCAGGATTTTTCTTTTCTTTCTTTTTTTTTTTTTTTTTTTAATATAATGATGTCCTGATCCCATCCTAATGGCTGAGCTGGACGATTGCTCCGCTGAACACATGGTTCTTACCTAGGTTCTTACTCACCTTCATTTGCATGGGACTTTGAGCTCAGCCCAGATAATCTGCTGCCTCCATCACTGAAACCATCCAGATCCTTTTCAGTCTGGAGAGCTGCTACCACCTCTCTACAATTAGCAATAGGAGCAGAATGAGGAGGACAAGGCTCACAGAGTCCCACCCAAACGATCCAGACACAACCCAGGGTGATTCCAGGTCATTCATTCATTCATTCATTCTAATCTGCTCTCACGGAGCTTCCAATGTAGAAGTGCTCACAGAGAAGTGAACAATCACTTAAATGAAGCAACGTAAATGCCAAGCTGGGGGAAATTTTCACTGACCTTTGCTATCCAACTTTGTGAGCAGTGAGGATGATGGTACATTTTGAGGTAATTCACTCATTCCCTCAGTAGCAATGTGTCAGACAATAAAGATAAACAAGTAAAATATTATAGAATGTTAGAAATAAGTACCAAGGGGTGAGTAAATCGGAGAAGGGGTATAGGAATTTGCTATCTAAAGGTAAATTCTCAAAGACACTCTTCTTTTTTCATAGTAATAATTATAAAATACAGTTTGAGCAAACAGAGCCCGCCTGTAAAAGTGCTTCTTATCTTGGTGGGTGTGTGCAGTCAGAGAGGGGTGGCTCCGATAAAATTCTGTAAACTGGGCCCCAACTTCCTCATCTGTGAAATGGGTGCAAGTAGGGAGGACTAACTCACTAAGTCCATTAGCCCAGGTCTTCTAAGAAGCAGACTCAGAGGGTAGATTGAACCTGCAAGAGATGTCTTTAGGGAAAAAGTTGTAAGAGAAAGTGAAGAGGGAACTAGAGGAGGTTGGGAGAGCCAGGAGACCAGGCAGCAGCCTGGTGGCCTCGTGCAGGAGAGGGAAGGGAGGAAGGTTGGGTAGGAAGAGTCTGACGCTGCAGTACAGTTTCAGCCAAGCTGATGGAGAGCCAAAGTTGCGGGCTCTAGGGAACAGGCCTGCCTCAGTATCCCTGCTGTACTCTTCCCTGGCTGGGAGCAGCCTGTGGGAAGCCTGGCCTCACACACGCAGAGTTCCAGGGTAGATTTCAGAGCATGGTAGCCAGGGCACGTCAGCTGGAGAAGTGACAGGCACATTTTTCTTGGCACCACGGTCCTCTCCTTGTGCCATATATTAGTCTGCTAGGGCTGCCATAACAAAGTTCCACAGCCTGGGTGCCTTCAACACCAGAACTTCATTTTCTCACAGTTCCAGGGGCTGGAAGTCCAAGATCCAGGTGTCACAGGGTTGGTTTCCTCTGAGGCCTCTGTTCTTGGCATACAGATGCCACCTTCTCCCTGTGTTTTCACATGGTCTTCTTTCTGTGTGTGTCTGTGTCCTCACCTCCTCTTCCTATAAGGATACCAGTCCTATAGGAGTAGGGCCCCCCCAATGACATCTTTTCACCTTAGGCCCCTTCTTTACAGGCTGTGCCTCCGAATACGGTCACATTCTGAGGTGCTTGGGTTAGGATTTCAACATGTGAATTTTGGGGGCACAGTTCAATCCATAACATGCCACGTAACTGCTTCTCTCCACAGTTGCAAGTTGCAGCCCCCGTGGTCCCATGTATCCCTCTTCCCTAAAGAAAACTCAGAAGAAGAAAGTAAGACAAATTACAGCCCCCAAACTGTGGTTGATCTTGGGGCCAAACCCATATCTGTCGTCTCCCTCCTCCACTCTCCGGTTTGAGTTCCCTTCACCCTCAGCTCTCACCCTGGCAGGTCCTGGTTGTTTACCTGGTAGTGTGACCTTATCCTCATTCATGCAAGGTCCTGATACCCTTCTTATTCTGGGGTTGCAAGGAGTGTCTAGTCATAGTTGCTATGAGGCAGAAGGTCCCAAGAAGCACCCAAGTGGATCCCTGGGTCCCACATGAATCTCTCCTTCCCGTTGTTTAAAAGGAGCCCTTCCTCCTCCTTCCAGTCAGGGTGGCTAACACTTGCCCGTTGGTGACTCTTCTCACTCACTGATCCCGGACACAAATCCAAGGTGTCCTCGTGGCAGCCATAACTTACAGTTCCTCACTATCACCAGGACTTCTAACCCCATAGAGAGCTCATAATTGTGAGAACCAGGAACACAGAATCTCCCAGTGAGTCACCAGGAGGGATGGTAAGGCATTCCTGTTTCTACTCCTTCAGCCCTGGATCTGTGTTTCAGGGTCCCGGGTTTTGCCCATCAGAGCCCTTAACTTCACAGGAACTGAGCTTCCCAATGACTCTGGAGCTCAGTGACTCTAATAATCAGATTGTCAGTCTGCCCCTCAGCTGTGTCTGCTGTTCCGCTGCAGGAGATCCTTGACTGGGAGCAGCCAGTGAGAAGCACGACCTCCACACAGTCATGGTGACAGATTCCACCATGCGGTGGCAAGGACTGTCCCATCAGCCACACTCCTTCCCCATTGAAGATCTAAAATCATGGTTGCCATGCACAGAGTCTGTGATCGTTCACTCATTATTGTCTCTATAGCATTTAAGGATGTCTGGGAACATGTTTTGGAGTTAAAAGACTTATTGACATTTTAAGACTTATTGACTACATTTTTCTCTTCTATACTATACTGAAAGCTACTGCATTATACGTTACTTTTCTGAGCATCGGTTTCCTCATCTATAGTGCTTACTCATCAGGTCAGTGTGAGACTGAAGGAAATGGTGCATGACTTTTTGTTATGGACTGAATGTGTGTGTCTCCCCAAGATTCCCCCAAATTGAAACCCTAACCCTCAGCTTGATGGTATTTGGAGGTGGGGCCTTTGGGAGGTTATTAGGTCATGAGAGCAGAGCCTTCATGAATGGAATTAGTGCCCTTATGAAAAAGCAATTCTAGAGCTTGCTCCTGACCTCTGCTCTCTTGGCCATATGAAGATACAATGAAGATGGCTATTTGCGCACCAGGAAGTGGGCCCTCCCCGGATACCAGGTCTGCCAGCACTTTGATCTTGGGCTTGCCAGCCTTCAGAATGGTGAGAAATAAATGTTTGTTGCTTAAATCACTCGGACTGTGCTATTCTGTTACAGAAGGCTGAGCTAAGCCTGAGCTAGACTTTTTTTTTTAAAGTTAGTTTACAAACTTGTGGAATGGGTCAAAATGATTCTAAAATTCATACAAAAGAATAGATTTTCAACAATTGCCCAGAAGTTTTATAAAAAGATTAGTATGCAATAAGATCTTTGCCCTGTTGTATATTAAAATGCACTGTAAAGCTGTTACAACCAAAACAATATGGTTCTCGCATAGTAAATGTAAGTGGATTAATGTAATAAAATAACCCCAAATAACTCAAGTATATGTAAGAATTTAATATAGAATAAGGTTCTATTTTGGTTCAGTGGGGAAAGGATAAACAACTCAATAAATAGGAATAACTTAGGGGAAGATTAGAACCCTAGTTCATTCCATCTATCTCTAGGCAAGCTTGCAACACAGTAGGTAATAGGGCCAGGACTCAGGTGAAACAGGAGAGGAAGGCCTCCAGGGCAAAATGTGAGAAGGCATTCATTTTCAGGGTTGTGCAAGTGTCCTAGGTGTGCCTGAGATGCTCATCCGCCTTATCCTAGCCCTAGTCCTGGTAGGCAAAGGTACCTCTCAGAGGAGGTGCTTGGAAACAACCTACATGCCCGTCATTAGGGAAATGAAAGAGTAAATTATAGTGAATATATGTCATGGACTGCCCAGGCTATTAAAAGGGACGAAGCTGGCATGAAAATGTGTCCATAACGTATTAAGTGAAAAACGGAAGTTGCAGACCAATGTCCATCATGACTTATGCTACACACATGTGTGTGCCTGGCATACAGTTTCCTGAGAGAGGTGGAGAACACCCAACAGATAGTTAATCATGGCCCCTTTTAGGGAGTGGGCCGGGATGAGAAGAGAGAGATTTTTTTCTTTATTCTATAACTTTGTTAGCGGGTGAAATATCGAATCATGTGCCCTTTTTGCTTTTGATTGTGTGGAATTTTTCAGGGGTAAAAAGCTGGTGGCAAATTCCTCTCAAAGAAACTACCCAGTTTAGCAACGCATCAGATATGTTGGTTGTGCTAAGGCTGCTGCGGTAAGGGTGAGATGGGGGAGCCACCAAGTTCTGCGTGACAGAATGGGAAGAATTGTGAGTCCTTGGGCATGGGTCAAGGGTCCAGAAATGAATGACAGTGGAGGGGGAGAGGGGACCAGCACAGGGAAGGAGGCCACGCTTCTGAAGAGGAAAGCTGGCCAGCGAGACAAGTCCCCGTGTCTGCAATGGCAAGAAACTTGCAAGAAATGAGCACTTCCTTTTAAGTTGTCCCTGTGCTGCATGGGAGTGACTCTCCCCAGCCACTCCCACTGGCAGCCCCAAATCATTTGGCAAATCTACCACATGCGACTGTCTTTGGGGACAAGACAAAAAATTGGACTCTGTTGACTTAATGTGAATCAGAAAGTAGAGAAGAGACATGAGAGGCAAGATGTGAGATTCAGAACTGAGCAGAATTTTTTTTTTTTTTTTGAGTCGGAGACTCGCTCTGTCACCCAGGTTGGAGTGCAGTAGCGCGATCTCGGCTCACTGCAAGCTCTGCCTCCCAGGTTCACGCCTTTCTCCTGACTCAGCCTCCCGAGTAGCTGGGACTACAGGTGACTGCCACCACGCCTGGCTAATTTTTTGTATTTTTAGTAGAGACGGGGTTTCACTGTGTTAGCCAGGATGGTCTCGATCTCCTGACCTCGTGATCCGCCCGCCTCGGCCTCCCAAAGTGCTGGCATTACAGGCGTGAGCCACCATGCGGGGTCCAGAATTTTTTTTTTAATGTAGCAAGAAGTAACCAGAAGTAGCTAAAATAAAATAAAAATTAAAAAATTAGAAAAAAGACAGATAATAGCAAGTGTTTGCCAGGATATGGAGGAATTGGAACCCTTGTTCATTGCTGGTGGGAGTACAGAATGGTGTAGATGCTTTAAAAATCAGTCTGGTTGTTCCTCAACAGGTTAAATCATATGACCCAGCAATTCCAATCCTAGGTATATCTAAAATAAATAAAAACATACTCCACACAAAAACTTACACATAAATATTCAGAATGGCTTTATTCATTCATAAGAGTCAAAAAGTGAAAACAACCCAAGTGTTTATCAACTGCTGAATGGATAAATAAAATGTGCTATATCTATATAATGAACTACATTTGGCAAAAAGAAAAAAAAAGAAAAAGAAAAAAAGTAATGATGTTTGGAGACATGTCATAACATGGATGAACGTTGAAAACATTAAGTGAAAGAAACCAGCCACAAAAGACTACATAGTGTATGATTCCATTCACATGAAGTGTCCAGAATAGGCAAATCCACAGAGACAGAAAGTAATTAGTGGTTGCTGGGGCTGGGGGAGGAGGGAACAGGAGTGGCTGCTCATAGGCATGGGATCTCTTTTCTTTTTAAAGACTGTTTTTTAGAGCAGTTTTTGGCTCACAGAGAAACTGAGAGGAAGGTACAGAGATATCCGCTGTCCCCCACCCCACACAGCCTTCCCCATAATCCACATCCCCCACCACAGTGGTCCATTTGTTAGAATAGATGGACCTACATTGCTAATCATCAGCACCAAAGTTCATCGTTGACATCAGGGTTTACTCTTGGTGCAGTTCATTCTATGGGCTCTGACGTGTGTGTCATGACATGGATCCAGCACCGTGATGTCATGCACAGCAGTTTCACCCCCTTAAAAAGCCCTGTACTGTGTGTAGTCATGCCTCCCTCCAGCCAACCCCCGGCAACCACCACCAACCTTTACGCTCTGCATAGTTTTGCCTTTTCCAGAATGCCATATAATTGAAATCATACTGGAATTTCTTTTTAGGGTGATGAAGATGCTCTAAAGTCAATTGTGATAGTTACACAGCTCCGTGGCTATGCTAATAACCCATTGAATTATATACTTGAAGCTGGGGCATTGGATGGTATGTGAATTATATCTCAATGAAGCTGTTAAAAATAAATAAATCACAAGAAGACATGTAAGCCCTACCCCATCCCAATATTCTATGTAAATTGTAGACAGTGCACCCAGGGAAGGTGTTCCCACCCACCAGGGAAGTAATTAATACTTAAATATTCAAGTGGAGTGTGTCCTGTGGGCTACAAAACTTTGGCCACCAGGCTGCTGACATCAGAAACGTGCCTGATGTGTTCAGCCCAGGGCCTGAGATGCAGTGAGGACTCGATAGATATTAACTCTGTTAAACTCTTGTTATAACTGAATCCGTGCCACCCAGAATCATCTTCCCTCTATCTTTCTAGCTCCTTTGACCATAACACATGCATGCAGAGGCCCACACTATGGAAGTCTGTGAATAGAATTTTAACTCTATTAATTAGGGTATGGAAAAAATTGTATCTTGTTAAAGGACTTTTTTATTTTTATATTTTTTGAGACAGGGTGTCTCTCTGTTGCCCAGGCTGGAGTGCAGTGGCACGATCACAGCTCACTGCAGCCTCAACCTCCTGGGCTCAAGCAATCCACTCTCCTCAGCCTCCTGAGTAACTGGGACTACAGGCATGTAGACCTAAACCCAGCTAATTTTTGTAATTTTTGGTAGAGATGAGGTCTCACTATGTTGCCCAGGCTGGTTTCGAACTCCTGGGCTCAAGCAATCCTCCTGCCTCAACCTCCCGAGTTACAGGAACGCATCACCATACCTGTCTAATGTTAAAGGAGTTTTCAAACTGTCAGGGACATCTCATCTGATGGTGGGTGGGGAATGGGCAGGGCACCTTCTCTTTCTCCAGCAGAAATCAGGATAGCTGTAAAGAAGAGTTTCTCGACCTCGGCCTAGAAGATTCTTTATGGTGGGGGCTGTCCTGGGTACTGTGGGTACTAGCATCCCTAGTCTTACCCACTAGATGCAACCCTCCCCCTGCTGTGATAACCAAAGTGGTCATGACCAAATATGTCTCCAGACATTGTTCAATATCCCCTGAGGGGAGACGTCTCTCTCTCTCTCTCACTCTCTCTCTTTCTTCTCCCGCTGCCACACACCTGCCGAGAGCCATGGTGAATTTTCTTTTACTTCTTTAAGATCAGAAGGCAGCAGAAGGTTCTCAGGCAGGTTCCAGGCATAACAGTGACTGCCTCTGTGTTTTCCCGCATCTGCTGGACACCCCTTCACATGGGGCTCCTAGACCCCACTCTTAATACCCTCTTCTGTGCCACCCCTTATATCTGCCCCATCATCAAGGACCCCCAAACAAGCGTACAGCCTCCAGCTTTGATATTCAGAATTCACATCATCCGTCCCAATCTGTAGACATCTGAGACGTCCGCAAAGCCTTGGGCCTGTGTGTGCCCGGGAGGTAGAGACCGGACGCAGGATAGAAGCCCCGCAGGCGGCCACATCTGAGTAGCTCCCAAAGAAAGAGCAGGAAGGGGGAGCTGCCATTTATTGAGCAGCTATCGCATGTATCAGGTTTATGTCAGTAGTTTCTTACACATTATTTCATTGAATTTTCACAATAACTTTGCAAAATATGTATTTTCCCCTTTTCACAAATAAAGGCATTGAGATTCAAAGGGGTTATCGCCAGTTGCCTGAAAATATAGCTGCCAAAAATTCCTCTCATCCCTGACATGCAGAGCTCCTGCCACCATGAGATGGGGCCTATTTCTCCTCCCTGTGAGTCTTTGACTTGCTCTCACCACACAATCAGGCAGGAGCAGGTACTCTGGGACTTCTGAGCTCCGGCCTTCAGCAGACCAGCAGCTTCTGCTTTCTCCCTCTTGAATCCTGAGGCCACCAGGCTATAAGGAAGCTCAAGCTTTACATGGGCCAGGCGCTGTGGCTCACGCCTGTAATCGCAGCACTTTGGGAGACTGAGGTGGGTGGATCACAAGGTCAGGAGATCGAGATTATCCTGATTAACACCGTGAAACCCCGTCTCTACTGAAAATACAAAAAATTAGCCGGGTGTGGTGGCGGGCGCCTGTAGTCCCAGCTACTGGGGAGGCTGAGGCAGGAGAATGGCGTGAACCTGGGAGGCGGAGCTTGCAGTAAGCTGAGATCGTGCCACTGCACTCCAGCCTGGGCGACAGAACGAGACTCCCTCTAAAAAAAGAGAAAAGAAAAGAAAAGGCACGTGGGAAGAAACCAAGACTCTGTGGTTAACAGTTCCATCCCAGACACTAGCTGAATGCAGGGACCTGGGTGAGCCCAGGCAAGACCAGCAGAAAAATCAGTCAGTCAAGCCCCAGAATCATGAGAAATAATAAATTGTTGTTTGAAGTCACTAAGTTTTGAGATCATTTGTTATGCAGCAATGGATAACTGATACAGTAGTTAAATAAGTTACTGTAAGGTTAGGCAGCTGTAAGCATAGAGAAACCAGAGTTTCAACAGAACTCGTCTATGCAAAAGCCTCTGCTGTCCCATGAAGGTACACTAATCCATCCCCTAAAGTGTGAGACTGTCTCCCTGGGTTGAGGTGAAACCACGCATGAACACTAACTGAACAGAAAGGATATCAAAGCAAATGGTTAACCATTTGACAGTGATTATACCTGACAACTTTATACCTATAGAAATATATGAAAAAGAATCACTAAAGATAAGATCTGACTATGGAAAAGTTAAATTCATTAGCTTAATTTATATGAAGGGTTTACATTTGTGCTTAATCAATATGCAGCATATGTTGTTTAAATATAATTAATTGTGCTGTAGCAGTAAATTCTGAATGTGGGCGTATCTATTCCCAACTTATCTGCTTCCACCTTTTAAAAGGAAAAAGAAAAACTGGTTGGCAAGTTAATTATTTGTATGTGAGCTTCAGTGCTTCTCACACCCGATGGCAAAGTCAGAATGCTAATTTCCCATCCCTTCTAATCATTATCCCCACAGCGAGGGATGAGCAGGCTCTTTTACTATTGACCTCTTGAGCACTGACCACAGCAGACCTATAAGCAACATTCAAGCTTCCTCCATTCAAGATCAGAATTAGACAATATGGAAGTCTAGGTCCGATATAGTCCATGACTTAGAATTTGAACAAATTGAGGGTAAATGAAGAGGTCAGATCACCTCTCTATATGAACAAACTTTAGTGGATAAAATCCTTAATCCCACAGTGATGTGGTGGTAGATGGTAAGTAGTCAATAACCAGATCTCTTGGAGGAAATAAAGCCCTGATGTGTATGTAGCATTTGCCAATTCCTGTGGTGTAAATACTCCCACCATGGCCAATTTCAGGCTACCAACGTGACATTCACCAGCATGCAAAATTCATGAAAATTTAACAGTCAGTTCTTACCTGAATGGCAGCCCCGGCTCACCACTGACGGCCCACCTACCATGCACACAATATTGTATCCAACAGATTTATATTCACCTGCAAGTGACAGAAAATCCTAAAAGGTTGTGGCTTCACAGAGAAGTATATTTCTCCCTATGTAAAAGAAGTCTAGAGATAGGTAGTCCAGGACCACTATTGCAGTTCCAAATGATTATCGAGAACTTAGTCTTTTCTGGCTCTTAGTTCTACCATCCCTAGGGGACAGCCCTCATCTTTATGGTTTGAAATAGCTGCCCTCCCATTCAAGTTTGAGTAAGCAGAATGGAGGAAGTTGCAGAAGTACATGCCTTCTCTTTCGTAAGGGGGATACTCAGAAACCTCACCAAATATATTTTTAAATGTATTTTCTTTTTTTAGAGACAAGGTCCCACTACGTTGTTTAGGCTGGAGAGCAGTGGCGTGATCATAGATCATAGCTCACTGCAGCCTCAAACTCCTGGGTTCAAGCGATCCTCCTGCCCTGTCAACCTCCAGAGTATCTGGGACTACAGGCACACCCCACCATGCCCAGCTTTACTAAATGTTTTGTTTAGTCCAAGCATAGTCCAAAATATTATGTTTACATTTATATTATAAAGTTACATGGTTCTATCTAGCTGCGAAGAATCCTGGGAAATGGTTTCGGTTGTGTGCCCAACTGAAAGTCAGCACGTTACTGTATTGAAAGGAGAATGTTGAGGTAGGAACCTAGCTGTTTCTGCCTCAGCTACCATTTATGACTGCTAGGGCTGGGCCTTATACCAAGCTCCTCGTGCACACCACTGAAGCTTTTTGTATCACATTCTCAAAGTGCAGCAGGACCTGAGAAAATTTCAAGTGAATACAAACGAGCACCTTAAAAACATTTTAAGAGTCATGCATTTATTTTAATATGCAAGAAAAAAGAGTACAGCGAACACGTAGTTTCACAGAGATTTTTGCTTGGGACTAGGCTAAGGTAGATCATGCCAGTTTAAGTTGAAAAGTTATTAAATTCCAGAAAAATATGAAGAAATAGTATAAATGACATGAGAAGATGGCAAAAATTCTAAAGGGGACGTCAGCTGCCTGAGATTAGGGAAACACTCAGATTTGGTGTAGTTTCCCTCAGTTTCCAGAGGAAGAAACTGAGGCTCCAGGGGAGTGACACAACTTGCCCCAGCTCACAGGTAGGTTTGATAACATTGTTCTTGAACAATGATTAATATCTAATATTGGCTGGGCATGGTGGCTCATGCTTGTACTCCTAGCACTTTGAGAGGCCTAGGTGGAAGGATCACTTGAGCCGACGTGTTTGAGATCAGCCTGGGCAACATGGCAAAACCCTGTCTCTACAAAAAATATAAAAAATTAGCCAGGCATGGTGGAGTGTGCCTGTAATCCCAGCTACTTGGGAGGCTGAGGTGGGAGGATCACCTGAGCCCAGGAGGTGGAGGCTGCAGTGAGGCGAGAGATCACACCACTGCACTCCAGCCTGGGCAGAGTGAGACCCTGTCTCAAATATATGTAAATATAAATCCCTAATATTACATTTGAGAGTAACTATAATGCACCTTCCAGTACTTTTGGTAAAATCCTTTTTTTATACAGATATAAGGCTTAGATATAATCTCTTTTCTATACATATAAACGTAATATTATAATTTCTATAAATACAGTTAAAGGCCCAATTTAATAATTAATACTTTTGGACAGCTCTATGGGATGTTTCCAGGAAACCCGATGTCTCTACAGATAATACCTAACAATAGCTACCAGCTAACAAGAGACCTTTTGATGTCCTCTAGGGCTGGATTTCACCACACACAATGGTGATATTTAGTAAGCATTTCCTAAAAATTAGAACAAATTCTAGGAAATGGAGGACAAACTGGTGAAACTCAGTACATTAGTAACAGCCAGTGACAAGGGTCTAAGGGGAACAATACAAATTTTAGTGCTGTAAATGAGAGGTTCTCGTGTACCTCTATGCAAATTTGTGCCAAAATATATGTAAATTTATGCCAAAAAAAGTCTCAACCCCTGGGGTAGGGGAATATACATATGTGCATATGTATATTTTCTTTTTTAACCAGACTGTAATTCTGTTGTTTGTCATGGTTTCCTGGTATGTGGCCTCACCAGCATGCCCTTCACAGAGAGCTAATTCAAACATCAGCAAGATCCAGCATCTGAAGCCACCAGTAGGGTCTGAGTGACCAGGAGACCACAGGCTGTTGGAGGTCTCAGAAACTCTGGACAAGGTCCCTGGCAGTGAAGCCTCTAAACTCAGAGATGAGTAACAAAGCAAGGTCGCAGAATCAATCAGCTGTGTCTGTGAGCTTCTTTAAAAGCAGCCTTCTATCTGTCCAGGTTGTTTGTGGGCCATTCTGTTGGGAGGAGACAAAGGGATGAGATAAGCGTTCAAGGTTCCTTGGCCTCCAAGAGTGGCTGAAGCCTCCAGATAGACTTGCCCGTCACTGGGATAGATATGCTACCAGGGTACCCCCTGGCGGGTAGAGGAAGGTGATGTGGTGGGGGTAAGGGTGGGACAGAGAAAGAGGCGAATATTTCTGTTTCCAGTTAACACTTTGTGTCTACTATATCATTATAGAAAAAAAAAATGCAGACTTAAAACAGCCTAAACTAATTACGAGTGGGGAATTTGTAAAATGATATGATGCTGCATGGCCTCTGAATAGTGCCCTGCTGTATTTCTCCATGTGACAAGTTATAAATAAAGCCCAAACCTAACCATCAAACTTGAAGAAAAAGTGGGGAAGAGAAAAGCTGCTGTTCATCTCTAAAACCCACCCCTGTGCACATGCAAAACAGATGAGTTCAGAGAGCCCCAACTCAACATCATCTCTTCATAATGCAAATCTGAAAATGGCTTCCAGATGGAATCCGAGATACATAGCTTATCATTATATCAGGGAGCAGGCCCACTTTTGACCACATCCAAATGAACCACTGATCCACAGCGTCTATGCATGGGCAAGTTTGGCTTTTTCAGTTTGCCTGGAACATTCTTAGACCTGCCACTGTGGTTCCTGGGCTCTCCCCTGGGTTCATTGCTGAGATGACATTGACCAATAATGGGACCAGGCAATGTTTCAGGCAGGCCCATGACAACCCCTAACCTCCTCAGTCCCGTGGCAACATCCCTCCTGCTCACCTTCCTCATTTTATTTTTTCCGGGCTGGCCAAATGGGACATGCAATGACATCAAAACATGACGGGGTCTCCCGAGGGTTAGGCTTCCTCCCTTCCTCTCCAAGCCTGAAACTGCAGTACACTCTGTGTGGTGGTAGCCTCGGCTGGTAAGTAGAGCTGAAAATGTAAGAGGGTGAGTATTGGAAAGCATGTAAGTTAGGATTAGATTTGGCTGCAAGTGACAGAAGGTCCAAAATGACAGTGGCCTAAACAATACAGGCATTTATCGACCTCTCAAATGAAACCACACTGGAGGTAGACAGTCCATGGTTCATAAGGAGGCTTCACAAAGTGTCAGGGACTCTTTCCAAGTTGTTTCTCCAATTTTCTTAGCACAGGGCCTCCAGAGCTTGTCCAAGACAGCTGCTTAAATTCTACTTAATAGCATCGTGTCCATATTCCAGCCACTGATGCGGCAGATTGTTTTTAATAATGGTCCTCCAATGAATCACGCCTCCTTGTTTTAAAGCCCTTTGCAATGTCAATGACACTGTCTATTCTTCCATCAAGATGTGGGGTCTAGTTCCTCACCCTTGAATCCAGTTTGGCCAGTAGAATTTGACAGAAGTGGCGTTGTATAAATTACAGAGCCTAGTCCTTAAGCAATCTTGAAGCTTCCTCTCTCTCCCTCTTGAAACCCTGAGGCTGCCATGTTGTGATAAGGTGCATGTGGCTTTGGGAGAAGGAGACACTTCCCAGAGAAGAACTGAGGAGCCCCCGCTGGCAGACATGTGGATGAGGCCATCTTAGATCCAACAGCAGCTGGGATATCAGGCAAGACTGGCGTGAGAAACCTCCCAGATTTCCCAGCTACAGAATCACAAAAAGTAATAAATTATAGTGCTTTTAGCCACTAATTATAGAAGTGACTTGGTACACAACAACAGATAACTGAAAGCAAGCAACTAGCAGGAGAGGCAAAGAAAAGACAAAAAGCACTGTCTTTTAAGCAGCTCTCCCTTTGGCTGTCATGTAACATGGCTGTTGATATCTTTGGGGCTACAATCCGCTGCGAGGGAAATACAATCTTTCTCCTCGGCAGCCTGGTGCCCAGTTACCACCAAGGGCATGGAGGACTAAGAAAAAGCCGACATTAGGTTACGCAGCTGTCACTTAATGAGAGAGGGGGAGGATTAGGAAACAACAAATATACAGCACTTTCCCATGAATAGCAAAGATGTTAAGTTAGAAAGAGCTGTGGCCGGGCGCGGTGGCTCACGCCTGTAATTCCAGCACTTTGGGAGGCCGAGGCGGGTGGATCACCTGAGGTCAGGAGTTCGAGACCAGACTGGCCAACATGGTGAAACCCTGTCTCTACCAATAATACAAAAATTAGCTGAGTGTGGTGGTGCACTTCTGTAATCCTAGCTACTTGGGAGGCTGAGTCAGGAGAATGGCTTGAACCTGGGAAGCAGAGGTTGCAGTGAGCCAAGATTGCACCACTGCACTCCAGCCTGGCAACACAGCAAGACTCCATCTCAAAAAAAAAAAAAAAAAAGAGAGAGAGAGAGAGAAAGAAAGGAAAGAAAGAAAGAGGTGTAACCATCTTTTCCTTTTTTTTTTTTTAATTTTAAAACTTTTTTTTAAATAGAGACAAGGTCTCGCTATGTTGCCTAGGCTATCTTTGAACTCTTGGCCTCAAGGAATCCTCCCTCCTCAGCCTCACAAAATGCTGGGATTACAGGAATGAGCTACTGTGCCTGGCCTTTATCATTATTATATTATTATGATAGTTTTTTTAAATCTTTTCCCTCTTAAACTTGAATTCTCCCAGCTCATAATAAGAGAAGGTAAATGAGAACACCTCCCAAAAATATGCTACCCTTCTGAGATATAAAAATAACTAAGATTTACCAGCCTGAGGAAGGAAGAGGGGAAGAAAGCTATAACTGACCTGTGGAGGTCAAGGGCGCTGGTGATGGGACCAGCCTCCTCAGTCTACAGTGAAATCACACAGGCACTTAAGTGACTCATAAGGAAGCATCTCTGAACTGTAGTCTGGTAGACTCTGAAATGAGGCAACAAGTGGTATTATTGGAATCCTTCTCTTGCTCGTTAAAACTCTGATGAATTCTCAGCTGTCTTTAAGGGTTTGGATTTCATTCATAGTGCACGAGAGAGTGAACTGGAAGAACTCTAGAGGACTCTTCAAGTCCTTCACTTCCATGAAATAGAAAAGGCCTTTTGCTGTGTGTTTGTGCAGGACTCCCACGTGCCTGGCACACTCCTGGGCCCTCGGGGGAAATAGGAAAGAAGGATATGACAAAGTACCTGCCCTCAAAGAGCTTACAATCTATAGAAAGCAATTTCTATGGCCCCTCAGTACACAAGCCCCAGGGAAGTTTCTGGGAGCTGCTGAACAGTTTTCTCCAATTCTGCTGCATATAGGTGAGTTGTGATCATGGGTGAGGCTCTCCCCTTAATTAAGAAATGCCAGCCAAGGCCAGGAACAGTGGCTCACGCCTGTAATCCCAGCACTCTGGGAGTCCAAGGCAGAAGGATCGCTTGAGGCTGGCCTGGGCAACATAATCAGTCCTCATCTCTATTAAAAGAAAAGTCCCGAGGATATATGTAAATTTTAAGAACTTTTTTTATCTTAAAAAGGGAAAATGAGAAAAAGAAAAAAAAAAGAGAGAAATGCCTTCCCTCTTCATGATTCTTCTTTACTCTTATAATCTTCCAACTCACTGGGCACCCCCTAACTTTGGGTTCTTGAAGACTTTCCGGGAGGCACAGCTTGGCTAGTCTTAAGAGAATCAACTTGCAGATTCTCATCTTCCACGTGCACTCTTTCTTAAGGCGGTTGGACTGAGAAGGTGCCCCAGAGTTCCTTCATGATAGCCTGTCTCCCACTTTAGACAAGAGAGGCCCCCTTTCTGCTCTCCCATGTCTGATTCCAATTCATCATTCCATGATGGGGAAACTCCAGGGCAGCAAACAAAAGGGAAGCCCCCTTTGATGATAACAGCGCCATCAACTCAGAGTGTTCTGGAGATTTCCCTGGCATTATATATTTGCTTGTTTATTTGTTAAAGGAACACCCATTATTAAAATTTGGGTATTTGGGAATAGTCTAAATTCAGTTATATGGTAGAGGGAAGTGAAAAACAGCTTTTCATCCACAAAGTCACCTCTTATTCTTCCTAATTGCGTGTGTGTGTGTGTGTCTGTGTGTGTTTGTGTGATACAGACAGAGACAGAGAGAGAGAAAGGAAGGGAGGAAGAAAGAAAACTTATCACTCACTAGGGTTAGTATTATGATAGCAAATTAAGGGAAACTTTTGTAAGAATTATTGAATGCTAAAAAAGACTCTTTCCTCACTTTTTTAAATATAAAAAATTCTTTGCAGCTCTTCTTAAAACTCATCCTTAGGAGGTGTCATTAGCTGCAAAGAAAAGCACATTCAAATAAAGCCTGATATTTACTAATGCTGGTCATTTTTACCATAACTCAATTTTTTTCACAACTTCTAAAATTTTCAAGATACATTAGCTAAAGCCCCAGATTAAAGATTCATGTGATTTCTTGAAAAAATGCTCATCATCACTGGTTATCAGAGAAATGCAAATCAAAACCACAATGAGATACCATCTCACACCAGTTAGAATGGCGATCATTAAAAAGTCAGGAAACAACAGATGCTGGAGAGGATGTGGAGAAAAAGGAACACTTTTACATTGTTGGTGGGAGTGTAAATTAATTCAACCATTGTGGAAGACAGTGTGGTGATTTCTCAAGGATCTAGAACTAGAAACACCATTTGACCCAGCGATCCCATTAGTGGGTATATACCCAAAGGATTATAAATCATGCTGCTATAAAGACACATGCACACGTATGTTTATTGCAGCACTATTCACAATAGCAAAGACTTGGAACCAACCCAAATGTCCATCAATGATAGATTGGATAAAGAAAATGTGGCACATATACACCACGGAATACTATGCAGCCATAAAAAAGGATGAGTTCATGTCCTTTGCAGGAACATGGATGAAGCTGGAAACCATCATTCTGAGCAAACTATCACAAGGACAGGAAACCAAACACTGCATGTTCTCACTCATAGGTGGGAATTGAACAATGAGAACACTTGGACACAGGGAGGGGAATATCACACACTGGGGCCTGTCGTGGGGTGCGGGGCTGGGGC